>NC_000006.12:103101093-103252608 GCF_000001405.40 Homo sapiens
GTTCTTCAGTTTTGGAACTCAGACTGGCTCTCCCTGATCCTCAGCCTGCAGATGGCCTGCTGTGGGACCTTGTGATCATGTGAGTTAATACTTAATAAACTCCACTTTATATATATATTATATATATTATAATGAACTATATAATATGTATTATACATATTACAATGAAAAAATATATATTTTCCATTAGTTCTGTCCCTCTAGAACATTCTGACTAATACACCAGTAAAAAGTGGGCAAAAGACACAAACAGACACTTTTCAAAAGAAGACATACATGGGGCCAACAATTATATAAAAAACAGCTCAACATCACTGATTATTAGAGAAATGCAAATCAAAACCACAATGAGTTACAATCTCACACCTGTCAGATAGGCTATTAATAAAAAGTCAAAAAATAACAGATGCTAGGGAGGTTGTGGTATATAAGCAAATGCTTATACACCATTGGTGGGAGTGTAAATTAGTTCAATCATTGTGGAAGATGCTCTGGCGATTCCTCAAAGACCTAAAGACAGAAATACCATTCAACCCAGCAATCACATTACTCAGCATATACACAAAGGAATATAAATTATATTATATAAATTATTATATAATATATATTATATATATAATATATTATATATAATATTATATATATTATAATATTATATATAATATATTATATTACATTTATGTTCACTGAAGCACTATTCACAATAACAAAGACATAGAAGCAACCTAAATGCCAATCAGTGATAGACTGATCAGTGATAGACTGGATAAAGAAAATGTGGTAAATATACACCATGGAATACTATGCAGTCATAAAAAAGAACGAGATTATATACTTTGCAAGAACATGGATGGAGCTGGAGGTCATTATCCTTAGCAAACTAATGCACAAACAGAAAACTGAATGTTCTCATTTATAAGTGGGAGCTAAATGATAGGAACACATGGACACATACAGGGGAACAACAATACACACTGGCACCTTTGGAAAGATGAAGGGTCAGAGCAGGCAGAGGATCAGGAAAACTAAGTAATGAGTACTAGGCTTAATACTTGGGTGATGAAATAATCTGTACAACAAAACCCCATGACACAAGTTTACCTATGTAACAAACCTGCACATGTACCCCTGAGCTTAAAATAAAAGCTTTTTAAAAAAAGAGCTTATGAGAGACTGTGGTAGTGGAAAAAAATGTTTTGAATTCTTTTTCTAAGATTTCATGAATTTCACCTATTTTCCATGTTTTATTTTATTTTCAGGGGTACATGTGCAGGTTTGTTACATGAGGAAATTGTGTGCCACTGGGATTTAGTGCATAAATTATTTAATCATCCAGCTATTGAGCATAGTACTTGATAGGGAGTTTTTTGATCCTCATCCTCCCACCAGCCTCTACCTGAAGTAGGGCTTGATGTCTATCATTTCATTTTTTGTGTCCACGTGTATTAAATGTTTAGTTCCCACTTATAACTGAAAACATGCAGTATTTGGGTTTTCCATTTTTGCATTATTTTGTTTAGGATAATGACCTCTAGTTGCATCCATGTTGCTATAATAGACATGATTTTGTTCTTTTTTATGATTATTTAGTATTCTCTGGTGTTCATGTACCACATTGTATGTATCCAGTCCACCACTGATAGGAACCTAGGTTGATTCCTTGTGTTTGCTATTGTGGGTGGTGCTACAATGAACATATGCATGCCTGTTTCTTTATGATAGAATGATTAATATTTCTTTGGGTATGTACTGAGTAATGGGATTGCTATACCGAGTGGTAGATCTGTTTTCATTTATTTGAGAACTCTCCAAACTGCTTTCCACAGAGACTGAACTAATTCACATTCCCACCAGCAATGCACAAGTGTTCCCTTTTCTCCACTAATGCTCCAGCATCTGTTATTTTCTGACTTTTCATAATAGCCATTCTGACTGTTGTGAGATGGTATCTCATTGTAGTTTACATTTGGATTTTTCTAACGATTAGTGATGTTGAGCATTTTTTCACATGCTTCCTGGCCAAGTGCACCATGAAGAGAGATAGTTTGACTTCCTATCTTCCAACTTGCTTTCTATTTCTTGTCTGATTGCTCTGGCTAGGGTGTTCAACAGGAGTGGTGTGAATAGGCATTCCTGTCTTGTTCTGGTTCTCAAAGGAAATACTTCTAGCTTTTGCCCAGTCAGTATAATGTTGTGTGTGGGTTTCACTTAGATGGCTCTTACTATTTTGAAGTATGTTTGTTTGCTGCCCTATTTGAGCCTGTCACCATGTTGTTAGCCAGTTGTTATGTAGACTTGATTGGGTAGTTGCTTTAAAGTGCCAATGGTCTATGGTCTATGGTCTATAGTGCCAATGATCCACTTAAGTGTGTTTTGTGGTGGCCAGCAACAGTGTTTTGTTTCCATGTTTAGTATTCCCTCTAGGACCTCTTGTAAGGCAGACCTGTCTATAATGAATTCCCCTAACATTTGCTTGTGTGAAAAAAGAAACATATTTCTCCTTCAGTGTTGAAGTTTAGTTTGGCTGGATATGAAATTCTTGGTTGCAATTTGTTTTCTTTTCTGGTTGTACAAACAGTAGTGGTGGCTTTTAAGATCTTTACATATCTGAGACTAAATTGGGAATTTTTATTCTCTATTTTTAACCATTGTGATTTTTGTTTCTTAAGTTGGGTTGTGGCTCTGCCACCCAGGCTGGAATGCAGAGGCAGGATTATAGCTCACTTCAGTCTCAAACTCTTGGGCTCAATCAATCTTTTTTCCTTAGCCTCCATAGTAGCTGGGACAACAGGTGTAAGCCACCACTCTCAGCTATTTATTTATTTATTTGTTTATTTTTGTAGAGATGAGGTCTTACTATATTGCCCAGGTTGGTCTCAAACTACTGACCTCATGCAATCCTCCCATCTCAGCTTCTTGAGTTGCTGGGATTACAGGCATGAGCACTGTGCCTGGCTCTGAATTTCTTTCTTCCAAGTTTTTCTCTTGCATAAAGCCCAGGTTTAGCTTTTGTTTTGTTAGCCAATTGATGTGTTGCATTTTATTTTTGAACTAAACTTATTACTTTTATTGATAAATCTAATATGTTTGGCCTTAGTTATGTTATTTTTATGTTTTATTTAAATAAAATAATTTTATGTTCATTTGAGATTCATTGTGCTCCTTGTTTTATATTATCTTTGAATATGGGGGCATGTGTCTAACTTTAGTTTTTGATAGTAATTCCTCACTGTGAACAATATCTTTATTTAGTAACTTCTTACTGTTCCCTTCCATTATATCCAGCATCTAATTTTAGTAATACCTTCTTACTTTCAGATAACATCTCTGTGAAAATCTGGGATCTTACTCTACTTGTCTTGTGCTTTCCCCCTTCTTGTACTTTTTGATATTTTGTCATAATTTTATTCCCAGAGTGTATAAGCATTATGGAGTCTATAATCTTCATCATCTACTATTTATGATTAGTTCTACAATAAACTATATATGTAAATATATATATTTGATATGTATGTATGAATATTATATATATATCTCTCTCTCACATACTACCAGTTATACATTCAAACAACTCTAGTAACTTTTTTCTCTCTGAAGCCCATGTTCCAGTTGTTTTCTCAGGAGAAGGTTCAAGATAACAAGATTCTCTGAATTATTACACACAAAGCAATTTGCCTGCAGTGTTAAATTTGAGGGTCAGTTCAGATTGATATAAATCCTGGGCTCATTATGGCTCTCATTTAAGGATTATAAATATGACTCTACATTGCCTTCTACATAAGGCACCAAGCACATAAAGTTTTATGTCTATCTTTTCTTTATAAATGACTCAGATTTTTCCTTCACGCCCATATTAACTTTTATCTTTTATAAATCCAGGTCAGTTTACTAGATTATGCCTTACCTTTGACCATTTTGTTAAAATTTTCCAGGTAGATTCTGTACCATTGAATATGTGGTTGATGTCAGTGTATCTGAGTTCAGATGAGGGACCCCATGGGCCTAGGACATAGACCTATGAGGAAGGGGTGCCATTGGGCTGGTGCTGGTATCTCTGAGGGAACAAAGTAAAACTAGTTTCGTGACAAATCTGCAAGCAAGAAACAACAGCTGCTACTGGAATGAGCTTCAGCTGTCAGGTTAAAACACATTGTTAGGGTCAGGCTGACAGGGACTATAAGATTTATCTAGAAATGGGAAAGCACATGACTCTTCTTTCTTCTTTAGCCTCCCAGACCTCTGGGTAGTGCTTTCCACTGGTCAAGCATAACAGGTAGACAGCTTGGGGTGAAGAAATGTGGTTTGCCCACTGCTTTGGCATCATAAAGCAGAGTACAGCAGGGTGACTATGAAGCTAAGACCAAGGTTTAATAACTCTCTGTTTTTTCATAAATCGTTCTAGAATTTTCCTAAAGTTATTTCATTTCATATTAAACTGTGAGGCTAAAATATTTACATTGCGTGGGCATGTCTTTCTGCTGTGTTTTTATTTCTAAAGTAGTGCTATTTAACTTACACCGACAATAAGGACTCCTTCCTGCTCTTATCAAGAAATGTTAAAAAATCTAACTTTGATTTCTTGAGATTTACCTAGTCTGCTCCTCTCTCCACTCTCTATCTGGATATTCTCTTGTCTTGTCTTTAATGTCTCTGTCCTGCCCAATTTAAATTCTGTTCTTAGCAGTTTCTCATTGGTGCAGGTTTTGTCCTGGAAAAGGTGCTCTCAATTGGTAACAAGGCCCAGCCTACCTCTCACTGAAGTTGCCTTTAAGCTCTAAACTGGGAATCTCACCTTCCATTGTGAAGCACTCTCCCAGCTTCGTCTGCTCTTCTCACATTGACAAACTAAGCTTTCCATGCAGAATAAAGACCTCTCAATATGGGGGCGATTATGTGTTAGTGATTCAATTTCCACATTCCCTGGCTTTCAGGGCCTTCACAAATCTCCCTGCTTTCTGCTTCTTAATCTGGGTGATAATTTTGTGCTCTTTTCACTTTGGGTAAATTAATCAAGTTGTACAATTTTGTGTGTATATGATGTTATACTTCCATCAAAAACAGCAAAATCGTTTGCGAAATTTTTAGCCAAAGCAACCACTAAAATAGTGGCCTCTTTGAAAGAGGAAAGGAAGGGATAATAAGAAAGAAAACAGAGCAGATATCTTTGAGGTGATAATAAGGTTACAGACTTAAAATGTTCAGTACACAGTTTGAAATATGAGACAGAACCAAAGAAAGTTATATATTTAAGGCATGTTAGCATTGAGGTGATAATTGAAATCGGGAGGTGGGAGCAGGGAAGAGATTCTAGAAGTGAAATATATTAGGAATACAGTGATCATCCTTCAAAATTGTTCTAAACTTTTTAATAAAAAAAAATCCTACCTTCCACTTTCTATACCATATATTCCAGGAAATGAAGTTGTGTTGCACAGAAACACAGAAATGACATGCGTGTGCATGCACACACACAAATATACATGTGCAAATGCATACACAATATACATATGTATGTCTGTATAGGTACATATTGTCAATTAAATTTTCAACTATCTTCAGAGTGATATAATTCATGCTGCTAAAGTGGATTGACATAGACTCCTCAAAATACAAAGATTCTTTGTTTTTGTTGACATAATTTCCTGATGAGTAATTGTTTTACAAATCAGGTGTTTTGAAAAATTTAAATTAGCCTTTGGACTCTTAAAATTCTTAATTCCAAGACTTCGTGTCAAACTTTTATTGAGAAAATGAAATCATGCAGAGATGTTTTCCAGCATCTGAGAGCTGGTTAGTGACTCCTAACAAGCTACAGCTAAGATATCCATCTCCCATCCAGTTCTGTCCCTACGATCCTGCCTCTTCTAAAATTGAATGTAAAGTCAGTGAAAAGACAATGTACTATTTATTAATTATAGTGTCCTTTTTTTCTCTTTCATGAATATTACATTTTCATAGTGCATATATTGTAAATTTTTAAAAAAACGTTCTAAAAGATAAGTTACCTTTTCATGGGTACATTTTTAACAACTGAGGAAAAAAAGTAAGAGATGGAAAATTGTCCTTTTTGTCTGTGATCATGAATTATTGAATCATGAAACCAGTGACTGCTATTAATCCCTTGAAAAACATTCTCTGTTTCAGTTTGCAAGATGCTGTCCTCTATTTCTTTGTTACATGCCAGAAACAGAGCAACATCTGATTTGTAAGCAACATTCAAGTTTCATTGAGCTGTGAATATTATTAATAATACTGGTAGGCACACGCCTGCCGAGAATAGAAGCAGATCTTCCAAAATGTAAGCAATGAATACAATCATAACAGACAATTGTGTTATGCATTAATTTTTGAAATGATTAGGAACAACTTTCCAAAGATCTTATTTCTGAAATTATTGATACCAAAAGACAAGACAGTCCACAAATATTCCCTATTATTATGTAATAATATAATACATTTATATATTATATATATTAGAAATGGGAAAGCACGTGTCTATGCACTTTGTCTATGTCTATGTAAATCATTGCAAATATCATACAAACTTGTTTGATATTTATTTAAACAGGCACAGACAAAGCACACAGACACAACTGTCTGTTATGATTGTATTCATTGCTTATGTTTTGGAAGATCTGCTTCTATTCTTGACAGGTTAGTGCTTACCAGTATTACTTATAATATTCACAGCTCAATTAAACTTGAATGTTGTTTACAAATCAGATGTTGCTCTGTTTCCGGCATGTAACTATGGTTAATTTACATTAATCATGGTTCAAAACTTTATTTGCAAAAAAGAAAGGAGCTCAAATTTGTGTGATATTTGCAATGATTTAAATATAATTTAGAAAATGACTAGTACAGAAAATGAAATCAAGGGATTGAAAAATTTAAATATTCCTAAAATATAACTACCTCACTGAAAGTGCTTGGTAATGTTTATAAGTCCTTTACTTCTCTTTTAATGATTCTTAACATTTTGTTTCAAGAAAGAGATATCATTATCTATGTTGCCAACATTTTATTTAAGTAGAGACCAACCTCCTACTGTCCACAGCTGTTTTTAATTCACAAGCAGTTGGAACAAGTCAAGCCTTGCTTGTGAGTCTTTTCTGCTTCTTATTATCTTATTTCATGTGGGAAGCCATTATGCAAACCAAAAGCATCTGAAGTTAGGTACCCCACTTAAGAGAGTTCAGCAGGGATTCAGTTTTTGTAATTTTTGGCAAATTGTGTCATTAAGTTGCATATGTTGTACTGTTGGTAACCATGATTGCTTGGGTTAGTTGATGTGCTCATGAACTCTGTGACTTGACAAACCTAATTTTCCTACAATCAAGTCAGAAATAAATTTCCAAATATGTCTAAAATGATAAAGCTTGTTTTTTAAAATCAATTGATTATATCTTATTGAATTTAGAAAAATATCATATGAAAATGCCAATTGCTATATTAATTCTAGTTAACAGGTTGTCTCCAGTAAATAAGTTAGTTTGTACACAGTCCGACTCCAGGCGGGAAACCTAGAAAACCTAAGTTTCCTAAATTGTACTAGAATTATTATATTAATCCTGACCCATTAGATTTTAAGAAGGGATACTGAAAAATAATTGGAGTAAATATAATTTTGCAGAAGCACTCACTTCACTTAGATTAGATTACACTTCATTGTTTAACCCTTTATAGTTCCCAGAACTTAACTCAATATAAGATTTACCTTTAAGCTCATTTTGATGCACATGACCAAGATATTCTTTATTTTTTGTTCTATTTTGAAGTTTACGTGAAATAAATATCTAAATACATTAATGTGAGAAATAAAATGTGTGGTACATTTCAAATGTAGTCTTATCTCATGTATTGATCATTTCTGTATTCATTTTCATCATTACAATAATGAAAGTTTTAAATATGATCTTGATGTCTGGTAAAATATTAACAGCTTTTTATTTTATATCATATTTAAGTCTCACAACAGCTTTGTGAAGTATTATTACTATCTTCATCCTACTTCTGAGGAAACTGAGGCTCAGACAGGCAAAGTAAACAGCTTTAGAGTACACAGCTGGTGAAGTAAAGGCTGCTGTTCAAAGACAGAGTAACCTTATTAAAAACCAAAATATCGGCCAGGTGTGTTGGCTCACACCTGTAATCCCAGCACTTTGGGAGACTGAGGCAGGCAGATCACCTAAGGTCAGGAGTTTGAGACCAGCCTGGCCAAGATGACAAAACTCCGTCTCTACTAAAAATACAAAAGTTAGCTGGGTGTGGCGGGGCATGCCTGTAATCCCAGCTAGTCGGGAGACTGAGGTAGGAGAATCACTTGAACCCAGGAGGCAGAGGTTGCAATGAGCCAAGATGGTGCCACTGCACTCCAGCCTGGGAGACAGAGCGACACTCCATCTCAAAAACAAAACAAAACAAAAACCCCAAATATTTTGTACCTCTTGCTCTTATATTGCTTAGCAAAAATCTAAATAGCATAAACAATAAAACCATGTATTTATTGAGCAATTGATAGAAAAACAACACATTTTTCAAAAATGAATGTTTAACCACTGACAAAAGTCAGGTACACTACATGGTACTCACAATTCCCATCTTTTCTTTTTTAAAGTGTCATAAAATAGGTTACATTTTTCAGAGACAAAATGTTGTCTCTTGTATCACTTTATTATTTGTGATATTTAAGTTCTTGGTCAAGATGTGATTACAACTTATAGCACTTTTACAATTAGGTGCAACTGTACTTAACAGAAAATCACAAATGACATGGACTCACGCAACAGAAAATATCTCATGTAAATCAGTACTAAACTACACACTGCAGCATTAGTACAGCAGTTGCAGTCTAGATGGACTTATCATCTAACTGCTTTGCAGTCTTCAGAGTGCTCTTCATAATCTGATATGGCAATTCTAGTTGTACTCCTCACACATATATTTCATTCAGTAGGAATGTGTTCAGACCAAAGAAGAGTATGAATCTTTATATAAGGGCATTTCTTACAAATAAGCATGAAACTTCCGCATGCAACTCCCATAACCCATGAACATGAGTTTAAGTAGCTGCAAGGGAAGCTGGGGAGTTGTACTGTTTATTTGAGACAACTATGTGTTCAGCTAAAAATCTTGTGTTCTATTATTAAAGAAAAAGGAAACAATGGATATTTAAGTTCACAACTAGTTGGCTTTTTTAAAAGCAAACTTTAACTAATATAAAGTTTTCCATTTAAAAATGTGATTTCAGGTTTCATTTAATATATTTATATTTCAACCTGCCACAGTGTAGCCAATGAAATTATTACAGAAACTTAGTTCTGAAAATTAATGTCCCTGCCACTATAAGAACTCTAAATTTTCTGATATAAAGATCAAATGTAATACAAATATAAGTTTGTTAGGTGATTATTCAATACCTTTGCTATCTTTTTCTTGACTGCCTATGCAGTGTGTCATGATTATTTGTTTACATATAATATTTTACTTGAACCACATTATCAATGTTTCTACCCAATTTGCATCAGAGAAAGAGGATGTTTTACATAATCTCATACCACTAGCATAAATTTATATACTAAAGAGAAAGCCATTTGTAGCTAAAATGGTTTATTTTGTACTGTATTACAAGACAGAAAAGCAAAAATGTGTCAATAGCTTCTAAAATTTACTGAAAAGGTCTAACGTAACAAGGGTTAAAAAGTTTGTCTTGCAGATCTGTGTTTGTATTTACTTCTTACATAATCTACAAGAAATGCAGACTTGGCTCTTCTGAGGTAAGACTCAACTAGAGTTGAACAATCCATTTACCCCATCACAGGACTGGAGCCCATCTTCCCTTCATGGAGTCTGCCAGTTGGAACTTCATTTATTTATGTCTGAACTTCTGTTCCAGGTCATGATGCTCAGAGAATCAAGAGGCAAAATTATATCTTCATGGTAGAGAAATTCATTCCAGAGAGCAAGAGAGCAAGGTTTCAGTCTGAACACAACAGACTGAAAAATATTGAAAGGAGTACAGGCAGAAGGAAAGAGGAGTTGAAGGATCCTCATTAGTCAGAATGATTGGGATCATTAGAGGTAGTTCGTTCATGCAGAGCACCTCCTATCTTCAACCAGATGATTGTAATATGGCGATGTCTGCTTTCTACAATACAAGGCAGTCTCAATCTAAAGAGAGTTACAACGTTTCTGTCTGTCACACTGTACTAAACACTTAAAATCTACCTAACACTCGAGTTAAAAAAAATCAAGTATTCTCATTATAGATTTGTTGGTTTAGTCTGGCAGAGGCTAGTAAGATAGGGTAGACTTGGTGACACTGCCATTAAGTGCTGGAATGATATGGACTCCAGATGAGGCTAAATATATAATGTCCTTCTTCCTCTTCTCTGGAGTCATCAGCAGAAGACCATCACCAACACTATCAACGACAAGAAGAGAGGATCAGGAAAACTTCCTTAGTGAAATTGCAGTTCAGTGAGAATCACTGATGTGTTTTCAGAATGGTTTTTAGGGAAAACCATTAAAAAAAATTGTTCTAAAAAACCTGGTTGCATACAACTAATTTTACAATTTCTAAGTCAGCCTTGCCTGCTAATCATTGGTTTCTGTAAGGCCAGACCCTCTACGATGTTATAGTCTTGGCACAGCCACTCTTTGCCAAGATAAATATTCATAATCCAAGATAAATACTGGTGATTCTGCTTGTTAGTTGGTGTCTCATCAATGCTCTTGCTAAACTGTAGCTTAATAGGGAATCATTTGTTCCCAAGAATTTATAAGCAATCTCAAAAGTGGCATTTTTACTGCCGTTTTATATGGTATAGTCCTGGCACTAGTAGTGAACTTCTTTCAGAGAATTATGTTGTGCAGAAAGATACTTTGAGGTGATATATAGTAATGCTATATTATTCCTTACACAGAGGTACATTGGGGACTCCAAGGAGTCTAATTATCTTACACTTGGAACCTCTATATGTATGTGTGTGCATTTGTATATGCATATGTGTGTGTAACATGTATACAGAAGATATAGATATATTCAGGTGACTAGATTAACCATTGCCCAGGCATGGCTCTTTAATCTTCTGCTGAATATATAATCTGAACCATGCTCAATTACATGTCTCCCATTTCATTTCCCATTATGAATCAAAATAATTTAAAATATATTACTATTCAAATAAATATTTTAAGGTCCAGTCCAAGTTTTTCTCATTTACAACTTCTCTTATTTAAGAAAAGTACTCCAATTGCAGACACAAATATATTAGAGGTATTAATTCACCAATGTAGTCATCTTTTTCTTGATTGTTAGTCTCCAATAACTATTAGTTTTTTATTATTTAGCTGTTTATTTATTTTTAAGACTGTCTAATCCTTTAGAAACTTCTTTCTTTTGTTCTCTTTTTGCTCTCAAAATATTTTGTATTTTTTCATATCATCTCATTCATGATTTCTACCTTTTCCTACTGACTATTGCAACGTGTAGACATTTGTACTTAATCCTCCTGCCTGAAATTCGATATTCACCTTTTAGATGTTTTCTCATATTTATTGTTTTACATTATTTATCAATAATCATAGCCTTTTTTCTGAGTTTCAGAACACTTTAAGATATTATCCCTGGCAGTTCCTGTTGACACTTAAAACTGTCAAGCAGCAATGTCCAATAGAAATTTCCATATAGGTGGAAATAGTATGTGTTTGTGTGGTTCAATATGGCACCCATTAGCAGAATTTCGATACTAAGCACTTGAAATGTGCTAGTGTGACTGAGAAACTAAAGTTTTAGTTTTATTTTATTTAAATTTAAGTAGCCAGATGTAGCAAATAGCGATTTTATTGGACTGTGCAGCTCTAATCTTCTATTTTCTTTCTCTTGAATTACTATTGCCATTAATGGCACACATGTTAATTATGTGAATGAATGAAAATACTCTGCATTAGCTATATGTGTAATAATGCATGAACCACAAACCTCAGTTGGCAGCTCTATTCTACTTCTTTATATTCAGAATATGATCAAGTCTCGTGTTTATGATCTCCTTTTCCTTTTTTTCATTTTACCAACTTTCCGGCTCTTATTTTCTTTTACAACCATCTAAAATTGTTATAATTATTTATTTATTAGAGAGGAGCATACACTTAAAAACTAATACATGAAATAACTTCAACAAAATAATTTATTTCTGCAGATCTGTATTCATGCAATTCACAAGAGCAGAGGCCCCTTGAATATTCAGCACTGTGTCTTCAAAGTCTGTCAAGAATGGTGCTAAAACTACAATAGATAATATAGTTATTGAAATAATAAATAAGTGAATAATTTAAGAGTGATATAAACCACCCTTGTTGTAGGTTTCAATGTGAAATATTCACTTTTGGCTTTGCTTCTTGTGTGATGTACATCCCCCTCTCCCTCTACTCTTGATGAGTTTAAAAGATGTTCAGCTATTGCACTGCCTGCAGTTATTAAGGTCTTAAGGCTTGTTTGGACTTGATTTTGGACACCTCTATATTTTGAAAGGCATGACTAATCATCTGTAAAGTATAACACACAGAGGAAACCTATGTTCTAACAAAGTTCTCTCTCTCTAAAAAATGGTAATTTTATGGTAATACTAAGTTCACTATTTATTAGTCATTACGGACCAATCATTCTACTCCTATTGTTGTGCTACTTCATTCAGTGACTTTGTAGTTTTCACCTGATGAATCTTTGTTCAATATCACATAGCATATTAAATGGAATATCTAAGGTCTTGGCATATGTCTCTATGACCACAAAGCCTGAGATAACCTCCGATTTTTGAAATAAGTTTTTGCATCTTAAAATGGGTGGGATTCATGAAAGTAGAGTTTGTTAGGTAGAAGTTATTAAGAATTGCAGCTCATGTGATGAGAATGACCTCAAGGGGGTGACTATTTTACTCTCTGGTGTTCTCTAGCTTCCTGGGGCTAGAAGAGAAGACACTGAATACCAGCAATTGACATGATGATCTTTGTTTCTAAAGGCACCACTAATAGGCAGTTTGTAATTCAGTCCTATATTCTTCTATAACAGTAACTATTATCCCATACAACTATCTTGAAAATATGAGTGTGTTATTATACACCTCTTATTCCTTTATAAGAAAGCAATAAGGAATAGAAAGTTACAGGATGAAAAGATACATTGAACATAGATATCTAATACACTTTATCTGTTTTCTTGTATGTATGCATGTGTGTATACCTGTGTATGGGGGAGAATATCAATGTTTTCAAGAATATCTAAACAAAGCAATTAACAGCATTAAAAAATTGAATCATTGATTTTTAAAAAATCAAGATATGGAGTACATAATTTAGGCAATTCTTTTTGACATTTTCCTATTAAATTAAATTTTTATTTTAAAATTAAATTCATAAACCATAATTCAGGATTTTTGATATGGTTCAGAATATTTAAATTACTTTATATTAATATTTAACTTTTCTATCCTCTTAGTAATATCAGAAAAACCACACAAGGAATAAGAAGTGTAATCTACACGAAAGCATTTCCAAGTAAATTGTAAAATGTGTGTATAGGCATGTGTGTGTGTGCATATGCAAGTGTGTGGGTGTGTTTGCTAGAGTACATTTTATGAGGGCATTTACAGACATAATCATGAGCAAATGTGGGTTTTTTTTATAGCCAAGGCAAATGAAGCATGCCTTCAATTAGAAACTTCTGAAAATACACTGTGATAACCTACTGAGAATGGAATTGCTTTTCTTCACAGCATCACACCCACCTCTTTTTAGAAGCCCATAGCATAGAGTATAAGTGTTGTAAGTGCAATATGCTCTCCTTGAATCATTTTAGTTCATTTAAATGCATTTAGTATTTCAATACCATTCCAAGATTATACATCTGATATCTCAAAAATATGCACATGCTGCTGTTAGTGTTCAGTATGTGGAATAAGTGAACCTCAACAGTATTAGAACCCATGTGTTATGTAAATGAGCATGTGAAACTTCAGATTATTAAGGCTTTTCTAAAACACCTGAAACATTGAAATCCCCAATTCCCTAATGTGTGATTATTCTGTTTTCAGCAGTTAAAGTTTAATTTTCTACTTCCTTAAGCAAAAAGTGAGAAAAAGCCATTCCATACCTTATGTTAAAAGCAAAATAAACATATTCCCAAGAAAGAATGAGGCAAAGGTGTACCTGTATTTTAGGAATTGTTAGGAAACAAAATCAATACCAAACCTTTACACTTAAACTCCTCCTTTTGGTGCTACAGTAAATGGTATTTTAGAAAATTTTCAATATTCAATCTTTCATTATTAGCACATAGATATAAAATTGATTTTTTACATATTGATTTTGTATACTCCAACCTTACCAAGCTCATTTATTGGTTCTAGTGCTTTTCTGTTGTCTGACAGACTTACAGCAGTCTACTCCCATTTTCTCTCTCCCATTTTTGTTGTACATTTAATATTTATGTATATTACAAACTCACAATCTATTGCTACTACCTTTGTTTTAGACAATCGGTATTATATGCTTTGGATGTTTGTTCCCTCCAAATCTCATGTTGAAATGTGATCCCCAAAATTAGAGATGGGCCTGGTGGGAGGTGTTTGAGTCATAGGGGGGCATCCCTCATGAATATCTTGGCGCTGTCCTCACAGCAGTGATTAAGTTCTGATTCTATTAGTTCACGCAAGAGTTGATTGTTTAAAAGTGATGGTTGTTTCACCTCTTGCTCTCTCTTGCTTGCTCCCACTTCGCCGTGTGACATGCCTGCTCCCCCTTTGCCGTCTGCCATGAGTGAAAGCTTCCTGAGACTTCACCAGAAGCTAAGCAGATGCCAGCACCATGCTTCCTCTATAGTCTACAGAATTGTGAGCCAAATAATCCTCTCTTATTTATAAATTACTCAGAGTCATGTATTATTTTATAGCAACACAAATAGACTAATACATTTATCTTTTAGTGTGATTAAAGATAAGAGAAAAATAAAATTGACATTTTCCTTTATTCCATTTCTAGCTTTTTATTTCCTTTTGTAGATGCCTGTTTCTCATTTATATCATATTTCTTCTTCCTGAAGACTTTTCTTTAACATGTATTGAGATGTAGGTCTATTGTCAGTGATTCTTCTCAATGTTTGATTACTTGAGAGAGTCTTTATTTTCTCTTTATTCTTGAAATATGTGTGTGTTGAGTAGAGAATAGTAATTTCAGTTTTATTTTTTGTTTTTGTTCCTTTTTTCACTTGTTTCTTTAAGCGTGTTAATAGTTCAGGAATTAAGTGGTGGCAATGACAGTGGCACTGCTCATTATCACCCCATTCACCGACAAGCAAAATGTTTGCTTCCTGTTTTTATGACTTTATGATCTATTGGCCTAAGAGTAGGCTTCAGGAGGAGTGCTTTTACTGAGAGACACACAATGATTTGATTGAATTGGAGGTTAAAACTTCCACCTGACCACTTTGGGATCCTCATGCCTCTGAATCAACAGGCAAAGAAGTGAGTTATGGTGTTGACTGGAGCGATTGATCTTAACTACCAAACATTAATTAAACTATTACTCCACAATGAAGGTAAGGAAGAATATGCCTGAATACAGGATATCCTTTAAGATGTGTCTTAATGTTACCATTCCCTGTGATTAAAGTCAAGGAAAAACTACAGTAGCCAGGCAGGACTACTAAAGGCCCAGACCCTTCAGGCATGAAGGTTTGTGCCACCTTGCCAGGTAAAGAACCATGACAGCTGAGGGGCTTGCAAAAGGCAAGGGGAATACAAAATGGCTGATACAAGAGGCAATTAGTGCATTTTCAGTTCTATGCAGGATAGTTGTATCCAGTTAGGTCAAATTATGACCATGTTATTATTTATATTTGAAAATTAAGTATGGTTTAAGGAGATGCATATAGGTGCCAAAATGACATGAGATGAACTTGTGATGGTTAATGTATAGTGTCAACATGACTGGGCTAAGGGATGCCCAGGTAGCTGACCACACATTATTTTGGGGTATATCTGTGAAGGTATTTCTGGTAGATATTAGCATTTGAATTGGTACACTGACTATAGAAAATTACCCTTATCAATGTGAATGGGCATCATCCAATTCACTGAGGGCCCAAACAGAACAAGAGGTGGAGAAAGGGCAAATTTGCTTGAGCTGGGAGATTCATCTTCTCCCGCCCTCAGACATCATCTCTCCTGATTCTTGGGCCTCTAGGCTTGGCCTAGAAATATACCACTGTCTTTAATGCCCCCAGCTTGCAGAGGGCAGATAGTGGGAGTTTTTAACCTTATACCCAAGAGGCCAATCCCTCAGAATACATCTTTTTCCATTTATCTACACATATATCCTACTAGTTCTGTTTCTCTGAAGAACCCTGGTTAATACAAGTAGAGGATATTGGTTTGGCAGTTTTGCTATTTTTTTTTTCTTTCATCACCTTAAAAATGTCACTCCCTCTTGTTCTGGTTTGGATAATTTCTGATCAAAAGTCCACCTTATTTCTTCCATTTGTTCACCTGTATGTAATGAATATATTTTTGTCTGGCCACAATGAAGTCTTTCTCTTTGTCTTCCATTTAAGGCGGTTTTAATATAATATGACTCTCTCTTTCTCTCCCTCTCTCTCTCTGTCTCTGTGTGTGTGTGTGTGTGTGTGTGTGTGTGTGTGTGTGTGTATTTGTGCTTGTTTTTGACATTCTGTTTGATATTTTCTGAGTTTCTTAATAGGAGTCTGTCATTAATTTAGGGGAAAAGTTGACACTACTTTTTCAAATATTTCACTACCCCGTTCTGTCTGTCGTCTTTTAGCATTCCAAACTACACAGATGTTAGACCTGTCTCTCTGTTCTTAGATACTCTGTTTTTTTCTTTTTTTCCTCCTATTTTTTTCTTTCTTGTTTTGATGAAATTTTGTTCTTAAGACAGTCACTCTGTCTCTGTGTTTTGTGGGCAAGTTAAGGTTTACACCAAGACTTATTTCTTCTATCTTAATTTTCCCCAGAAACCATATGTTTTCACAAATATTCTAAGAGTACCAGCATTGGTTGCTCTTCCACAAGTGATTTAAGGTTTTTCTTCCATATGAGAGACAGTAGGAAGTATCCAGGCAGGGTTCCTTGTGTTTTTGTTCGGTGGCTTCTGTCCCATCCTTCCAGGCCTGGGCAACCAGGTATGTTTCTCAATGCTTTCACCTTGCTCCCAATCTTTATAGGAGCACACATTATGTCCATGTGAATGAGCCCATAAGTGGATGCTAATACCCTTTGTGCCTGTGCCTCCCAGTGATTCCATATTTTCTTACTAGACATGGCCTTTGGCAATATGTTAATATTTTAAGCTGAATTATTTTAACCAGGGGCCAATGTTATCTGCTTCAGATAAATAAGTGCTCAGATAATTCATAGCTCTGTGACCTCAACCCTCTTACAGATTTAAGAAAACTTGTGAATTTTCAGACAGTTTATAGGATTTG
Source organism: Homo sapiens (assembly GCF_000001405.40). Taxonomy (NCBI): domain Eukaryota; kingdom Metazoa; phylum Chordata; class Mammalia; order Primates; family Hominidae; genus Homo; species Homo sapiens. Next base: position 103,118,591 of record NC_000006.12, read on the forward strand.
TAGCTCTGAGAGTAGAAGTGATACTATTTTTGGCTTTCCATATTATAATCATAAGCCAAAATTCATATGAAAAATCATGTGTATTTTCATGAAAATGAGACAGTGATCAACATTACCAAAATGAAAAGAAAACATATTTTGGCACTAAAGCTAAAAGGTATTGGAATCTGCATATTGGACTTTTCTACTTAATCAGTATAGATGGTGGGATGGGTAAGTTTATGTGTTAACTTGACTAGCCTAAGGGATGTCCAGATAGATGGTAAAAAATATTTTTAGATGTGTCCATGAGAGTGTTTTTAGAAAAGATTAACATTTAACTGATAGACTGAGTAGAGAAGATCACACTCACCAATGTGTTTGAGCATCATCCAATCTGTTGAGGACCTGAAAAAGCATAAAACAGCAGAGGAAGGGCAAATTCTCTTTCTCTCTCTGTTTTGAGCTAGGACATCCAACTTTTTCTGCCCTCAGACATCAGAATTCTTCGTTCTCAGACTTTTAGACTCTGAGATTGACACCACTGTGCTTTCCAAGCCCCCAGGACTAGCATTTGGCCCTGGGCTCAGATACCACTGCCCTCTCCAACCCCCAGGACTGGCCTTTGGCCCTAGGCTGAGAATTACACTGTTGGCTCCTCTGGTTCTTAGGCCTTAGGACTCAGACTGAATTACACAATCGCTTTCCCGGTTATCCTACTTGTAGATAGCATATTGTGGGACTTCTCCTCCTTCACAATCACATGAGCCAGTTCTAATAATAAATCTTATCTGATATATCTGTCCATATATTATTGGTTCTGTTTCTCTGGAGAACCCAGGCTAATACAGATGGCAATATGTAATTATGTGATAAATAACATTTTGACATCAGCTTGGATTCTTAAAATATTTTATTTTCCACTTAATAAAATTCAGTTACCTTTTTGGCTTGCTTTCATTTTGCTTAATAATTGCTATTTCATATGTTATTGTTATTCTTAAATTAAAATTATTATTTTTAGTCTTGGTCATTTCTCACTCAAGTTTCAATTGCAGAAGTTATGCCTGTGGCCACCTTTCTCAAATTAATACAGTAATTGTCACTGAGATATTTTCCTTCCTTCTTAGGGATCTATATTTGATTGGTCTACATATTCTAGATCTTACATACTTTAGCTTTAGTGCCAAAATATATTTTATTTTCATTTTGGTAATGTTCATTACTGTCTCATTTTCATGACAATTCACATGAGATTGTCAAATTTAAACTGGCATTCTGTGTCATAACAAAGTTCAGATTTTAAACAAAATTCATTTTGATTATATAGTCTCTTCCCAACTTGACTTTTAGCATAACAGAATCAAGAATAACATTTAGATGTCAGTACGTTTAAATAATATTATAAACGATCTTAAGTTCTTTAATTGACAGAATAAAGCGAATAACAAAATTATACCTATAATGAGATATTGTTTTTTAAAAAACTTGGAGTTGAAAATATTATCTATTTAGTTATTTTATAAAATTCCTTAAAATTCCTAATAATTACTATTAGGTGATCTACATGTATTATGTTGTCAGTGAGCTGAGGACAATGACTTCCATTCTATACAAGGCCTATCCTAAACTAATCTAATGCTTAGTACTATAAGACACCTGAAATTTAATATTCATTAAAATTTCAATATATTTAAAACTATTTAACATATTTTTTCTATTTTTTGTATTCTTAACACACTTTGTGCCATAGGTAATAAATATACTTCATACTTGTGAATATATAACAAAATGCTACTTGATTCATTATTTATGGATTCATTGATCATAAGTTATAGTGTCACTTTAAAAAATATGTATATATACACACACACTGTGGGTTTTTTTGTTTTGATGATCAGAGCTCACTGCAGCCTCAAACTCCCGGGCTCAAAGGATCCTCCCATTTCAGCATCCCAAGTAGCTAGGACTATAGGCACATGCCACCACATGCCTGGCTAACGGTTTTATTTTTTGTAGAAACAGGATCTCACTATGTTGTCTAGGCTGGTCTTGAACTCCTGACTTCAAGTGGTCTTTCTGCTATGTTGAGGTCATGTTAAATGCTTCTGTTGTTATATACTATTTATTATTTCTGATTATGGTTTGTGTTTATCATATTAATTGATCTCTTTATCAGTGGAGCTATAGCTTCAATAAATTTAATAATTTTATATCAATGCATAATTCCAGTGTGCCTATGTATTACCCAAGATTTTGTCTTGCCTTAAACTTTTTTTGAAACTTTTACTTTTGATATAATTTTACACTTGCAATTTGGAGGAATATACAAAGAACTTTATATTCTTCCTCATATTTATCTACTGTTGCCATTTTTCTTATTTATTACTTCCTCACTCAGATTCTTTTACTCCATATACATACATAGTTTAATTTCTTGTTTTTGCTAAATAATTTGTGAGTAATTTGACATTGTAACACTTTATTTAAGTACTTCCATTACTAACTAATCATCAACTTATATTCAAATATTGTTCATTGTTTTAATAATATTCTCCATAGCTTTTAAAATTTCTGGTCCATGATTTAAACCAGAAATATATATTACAGTTACTCATCAAGAGTTTTAACATGGGAGGTCATGGTGGCTCACGACTGTTTTCCCAGCACTTTGGGAAGCCAAGGTGGGTGGATCACCTGAGGTCAAGGATTTGAGACATGCCTGGCCAACATGGAAAAACCCTGTCTCTACTAAAAATACCAAAAAAAAAAAAAAATTAGCCAGGTGGGCTGACATGTGCCTGTAATCCCAGCTACTTGGGAGACTGAGGCACAAGAATGCTTGAGCCCTGGAGGCCGAGGTTGCCGTGAGCCGAGATCGCCCACTGCACTCCAACCTGGGCAAAAGAGTGAGGCTCCGTCTCAAAAAAAAAAAAAAAAAAAAGCGTCTTAATGTTTTCTTTATTTAGAAATGGTTTCTCAGCCCCTATTTGACATTCATGATCTTTATAGTTTTGAGGAGCTCACGCAAGGTAGTGTTTTAATGTTGCAATATTTATTATTATATGTTTTTGTATTAATAATGTTTCTTTCAGATTTTAAATATTTTATAAGCCTTTAGAAAGCACCTAGACATCAGATATTATGCCAGTAATGTTAAATGTATTTAAAACAAAAATCCTAGGGAAAATACCAAGCTTATTTATTCATTAGGTAAACAAATCCTTAACACATGACTATATCACTTTAATTTTCATAAAAAGTTTTATTCTCCTGTTTTAAGTATAATTGTCTTAAGTGTTTCTTCTACCTACATTGAGCACTACATCAGATGATGTAATAATTTTTGCTTCAACCATCAAATGTGATATAAAAAAAACTCATGAGATGAAGGATATTTTGTTGTTCTTTCATTTTTTAACCCATCTTATTCTTTTCTTTTCTGAAGTTCCAAGCCTTCTTCTATCATTTCCTCTCTGTTAAGAGAAATCTTTCACCTATTCTTCAAGACAAGCTACGTTAAAGTAAGTTAACGCAGGAACAGAAAACCAAATATGGCAAGTTTTCACTTGTATGTGAGAGCTAAATAATGAGAACACAAGGACCCATAGAGGGGAACAACACACACTGGGGCCTATCAAAGGATGGAGGGTAGGGGGAGGGAAAGGGAGAAGGGAGCGGATCAGGAAAAATAACTAATGGGTACCAGGCTTACCATGAATGATGAAATAATCTGTACAACAAACCCCCATGAGACAAGTTTACCTATGCAACAAACTTGCACATGTACCCCTGAACTTAAAAGCTTTAAAAAAAGTTCCAATGAAGACCAGATCTGAAGAATCCCTGAGAAGGCAAAGCCAATTAGGTCACGCAAGTGACTTTAACCTTGCTTGATTTGCAAGTTATTTCTTGTAAATACCTATATTAAAGAAAAACAGAACTTAAGCTTAAACAATCTGAAGCAGCCAACAAACATAATTAGACAACAAGGGATTTTCCAACAGCATAGGCCAAATAAGACAACTGTATAACCGTAACTAATCAAATAGTTTCTTTTCTTGACTTGTATGTTCATCCTATAAAAGCCTTCCCTTTGCATTTCCTCAGTGGAGCTCCCAAACTTTTGGTTTGGAGGTTTCCAGTTCATGAGTTATTGTTTACTCACATAAACTTTAAAACATTACTATGCCTCAGTTTCCCTTTTAACAGTTTGCTAGCAACAAACTGTTTTCCTTTAAGCCTATCTGTTTCCCTTTAGTTATTGATAGATTTCACCTGATACAGAGTTTATGGTTGGCTTGTCTTTTCTTTCAGTAATTGAAAATGTTATACCACTTCAATCTGGCTCAGCTTCCAGTTAGGCCTGGCAGACACTAGGGACAGGGAAAGGAGAAGCTGACAGTGCCAATCAGTTCCGCCTTCTACGTTGTTCCCTCCTGGATGCCGTATAGGTGTGGAGACTCTGTTTCCTTCTGATTCTAATGATAGGAACGGGTGCTGGGAGTGAAGTAGAGTGGTAACTAACCCTGCTTTGCCTCCCTCATTAAGTCTCATGGCTGTTGAGTGGCGGTGGGGCTTCAGCTGGCTCCTGGACTCGGTTCACACCATCTTGGGGGAAGAATTAGAGCGCCACCTGCTGCCCCTTTTGTCTGTAGGATGGAAAATTGGCTCACTGCAAAGTCCAGCCAGCACCAGACATTGGTGTGATTGGAACGCTGCCTCCTGTTTTCACAGTCCAGGAGCAGGTTTGAAGACGAATTCCTTGCTAGGCCTTGCTGAAACCACTGAGGGCATCAGGGGAGGGGCAGATGCAGGGGTGGGGTGCCATTTTACTGTTGGTGTTTGGTTGGAGTATGGTGAGTTTACTGCCCAAAACGTTTACTATTGTGAAGCCACATTTTTCCTGGTCCTTAAAATAGGGCAAACTAAAGATTTCATGCCCATTGATGGTTCAGGACAACCAAGCTTCTCCAGAGACCTGTCTGGGACAAGGAAGCATTTGAATACAGTCTGTGTTGTATGAGTGGCAGTGGGGTAGGGAAAAGGTCAGACAGGAGAAGAGCAGTTTGGTTTTCACCACAAAAAGCTTGTTGTCCACAGAGCAGTGGTGATGTTATGGTGTGGAAGTGTGGATGGGTAAACTACAAATTCAATACAAATGAGAAGGCAGAATGGAGATAAACATATTTGTCTCTTTCTCTGAGAGTTTTATGAGGTAAACACTGTATTATGTTTTTTTTTCAAAATCATTTCCTTTCATTATGTATAAATGTTCGCCTAAATATGAGACCATTAGAACACATTTGGCATCTTAGAAGGAATGGGAAAGATAGATAATATAAAATGAGCTACTAGGCAATACATTTAAGTGGTTTGTTTTTTACAAAACTGTCCCAAAAAGGAGACAAGGTGTCTGACAGCTAGTCTTTTAAGTGTCTTTCTCTACAAAACATATCTGAACATCCAAATATGGAAGAGAGGAAATTGGGTACCTCAAAATGACTCTTTTAAGAGCTTTTCTCTGGCTCCCAAAGAGATTTGTTTGTTTTCAGAAGATTTATTCTGTTATTATCACATCTGAAATGTGCTAGAAAGAAAGACTTTTGTTAGCTCAGAACAATAGTAAATCAGCTATCCTAAGTGCATTTCTGTCTTAAAGGTTTATTTTGTTTTGTTATAATTGAGATGAGTCAAGGAGACAATGGTATGGAAACACTTTTGATTCTGCATTGGGACAAAGGTCAGTAACTCAAGGCCCCAGTGTCCTTGGAGTAAAAACATTTTATAAATATCTATTGGTGGGAAATGCTGCTCTAGTGAGGATTACAGCACACCTCTAAGAGCCTGGTGGCTACCAAAATGTTAGAAAGAGCAAGTGTCTTAGGAAATACATTTTGTATTCTATTTTTTGAGTACACTGGACAAGCTAAATATAGAGTAGAAATTGCTGTTTAGCTGAGATAATCTGCTTAATGCATTCTGAGAGAGTTCGAATTTTTTTTTTTTTTTAACAGAATGACTGCCAACTTTTATTCTGCATTAGATGGAGTTTTTGTCAGGCACTCATCCACCTCACACAGTTATAAAGTATCAGGCTCTCAGGTTAATTTTTACCATTCCAAATATTTGTACAGAAAATCGTTATTGTAGATGAGCAGATTTCGACTCCCAACAGTATGACTTATGATTACATTGTGTTTGGTAAAATGCGTAACCTTACTTAGGCCCAGTTTTAAAAAATCTCATTTATAATTGTTACATCATTATTATGTATATTTATGAGGCACAATGTAATGTTTTACACATATGTAAATTGTGTAATTATCAAATCAAGGTAAGTAGTATATCCATCGCCTTAAATATTTATCATTTCTTTGTTGTGAGGACACTCAAAAACCTCTCTTCAGGCTATTTTGAAACATACGTTTTTATTAACTCTAGTCATCCTACCATGCAATACTAGAAATTATTCCCCCAACTAGCTCTTTAGCTGTTGACCATGTCCCTCTCCTCTCCCCATCTTCTTGTAACCACCATTCTACTCTACTTCTACAAGAACAACATTTTAGATTTGACATATAAGTGAGATCATGTAGAATTTATCTTTCAGTGGCCTATTTCAGTCAGCATAATGTTCTCCAGGTCCCTCTATATTGCTGAAAATCGCAGAATTTTTATTCTCTTTTATGGCAGAATAGTATTCCATTGTCTATATATACTACATTTTCTTTATCCATTCGTCCATTGATGAACATCTAATTTAACCATACATTGGCTACTGTGAATAGTGCTGCAATAAACAGGAGCGCAGACATCTCTTCAACATACTGATTTCATTTCCTTTGGATATACTCAGTAGTAGGATTGCTGGATCATATGATAGTTCTATCTTTAATGTTTTGAAGAATTTCCACACTGTTTTCCACAATGGCTGTACTAATTTACATTCCCAACAGTAGTATATAAGGACTGACTTTTCTCCACATTCTCACCATCATTTGTTATCTTTTAATTTTTTTATTGTAGCCATTCAGACTTGATGAAAGTGATATCTCATTGTAGTTTGATTTGCATTTTACAGTATTTTTGTCTACATTTTCTTTTGTTGCCCGTGCTTTTGAAGTTTTATCCAAAAAATCCTCACCTAGACTGATGTCATGGAGCTTTTGCCATATGCTTTCTTCCAGTGGTTATGTTGTTTGGGGTATTTACATCCTTAATCAACTTTGAGTTAATTTTGGTATATAGTGAGACATGAGAATCTAGTTTCATTCTTCTGCATGTGGATATCAAGTTTTCCAGCACCATATATTGAAGAGGATATCTTTTATCCATTATGTGTACTGGTACCTTTGTCAAAAATAAGTTGGCAGTAGATGTGTGGGTTTATTTCTGGGATTTCTATTCTATTTCATTGGTATATGTGTCTGTTTTAATGATAGTTCCATGCCTTTTTTCTTAATATGATTGTATTATGTTTTGACGTCAGGTAGTATAATCCCTCAAGTTTTATTGGTTTTGCTCAAGATTCCTTTGCATATATAGGGTCTTTTGTGATTCCATATAAATTTTAGTTTTTTTTTATATTTATGTGAAGAATGTCATTGATATTTTGATAGACATTGTATTGAATCTGTAAATTACTTTGGGTAGCATGAATATCTTAAATTTATTCTTAAAAATCTATAAACATATCTTTTCATTTTTGTGTCTTTTTTAATTTTTTCATTAATATTTTATAGTTTTCACTGTAAAAGTCTTTCACCTCTTTGTTATATTTATTCCTAGATATTTCATTTTTTGTAGCTCTTGTAAAAGGGACTGCTTTCTTGATTTTTTTCAGATAATTTGCTCTTGGCATTTAGAAATACTAGTGATTTTTGTTTCTCAATTTTTTATCCTTCAACTTTACTGAATGGGTTTCTTAGTTCTAATAAATTTTTGGTGGAGTCTTTGGGGTTTTCTGTATATAATATTAGGTCATCTGCAAACAGCAGTAACTTGACTTCCTCCTTTCTAATTTGGATGCCCTTTGTTCCTTTCTCTTGCCTGATTTTTCTGGCTAGGTTAGTCTTGTTTTAAAAAATCCACATAATAAAGGTAATATTGCCTATTCAACAGGGTACGTTTAATATAATGTTTACCTTTGAGATAAAATATAGTGTGTTCTCTATGAACAACACATATTGTTATATCTTTACTGTCATGAATGTCTAGGTGCCACAAGTATTTTGGAAATGAAAGACATATTATAGAAATTACATAACACAAATTCAGGAGATGCTGAGAAGTTTAAAGGCTGGAAGAGATACGTTAGAGAATCAGAGAAAAATAACTTTTCACCTGCAACTGTGGAATGGGTGAACAAGTCATCATTTACAGAAAATCCAATACGCCAATCTGGCTGGTGAAACAGACTACAAAATAAAAGCTCATGAAGCGATCTATGACAAATGGCCATTTCACCTACAAAACTACCGTCTTTATGGACCTCAACTGAGTAACTCAGAGACTGCTGTTAGTCAGCCAAGCTGGTAGTTGTTGAGACACGCTGGATGTGGAACAAAGGAGAAAGGGACAAGCTGAGACTCACTTCTGTCTATCACAAGGTCTGACCATGACAACTTTTCAAGAATAATGTCCTCTACTTTTCCTAAAACTTTCATATTTCACAGAACTTTCTCTTTTGGCCAACTCTAACTAGAATTCATTCACAAAAAGTGATTCAGGGAAATGTAATTATTTGCCTTACACATTATCCAAATATCTAGACAAAATTCAAATGTATAAACTGAGGATGATTAGGTAAAGAGAAAGAGGAATGAAATATTACATTATAAAAAATATCTGCTTCCTGACTTTGATCTATCCTATTTTCTATGTTTAATTGAGAACAGTTGGTATTTTCTACCTGATACTGTGTCCGGAATTTATTCCTTCCTGTGGGTTCTTGGTTTCGCTGACTTCAAGTATGAAACCCCAGACCCTCATGGTGAGTGTTACAGCTCTTAAAGATGGTGTGTCTGGAGTTTGTTCCTTCAGATGTTCAGATGTGTTTGGAGTTTCTTCCTTCTGGTGGGTTCCTGGTCTTGCTGACTTCAGGAGTGAAGCCATGGACCTTCACAGCGAGTGTTACAGCTTTTAAAGGTGGCACGTCCGGAGTTGTTTGTTCCTCCCAGTGGGTTCGTGGCCTTGCTGACTTCAGGAATGAAGCTGCAGGCCCTCACAGTGAGTGTTACAGCTCATAAAGGTAGTGTGGACCCAAAGAGTGAGCAGCAGGATTTACTAAGAAGTGTGAAAGAACAAAGCTTCCACCCTGTGGAAGGAGACCCAGGAGGTTGCCACTGCTGGCTCGGAGGCTAGCTTTTATGCCCTTATTTGGCCCTGCCCACATCCTGCTGATTGGTCCATTTTACAGAGCGCTGATTGGTCCATTTTACAGAGTGCTGATTGGTCCGTTTTTACAGAGTGCTGATTGGTGCATTTACAAACCTTTAGCTAAACACAGAGCACTGATTGGTGTGTTTACAATACTTTAGCTAGACAGAAAAGCTCCAAGTCCCCACACGACCCAGAAGCCCAGCTGACTTCATCTCTCAATATGAATCTTATTTATACCTATGTCATTCTTGATTTATTAAATTATAAACTTTGTCAAGGTAGAATACTTATCATTGCATTTAGCACGTTGGTTCCCACATAATAAGAACTCAGTAGCTATTTCTGAATTAGACATATAATCGTTATTAAGATTTAATTTTATCATTTTCAGGGTTTACATTTATCATCAAGCTTGATTAAAAGCATTACCTTTGAAGATAGGATTTAATCAGTGAATGAGAATTATTTGTGATCAGTATTTTGATGTTATAGGAACACATGATTCTAAAGTGATGGATTATACTTTAAAAAATTTACTATTTTAAGTTGTTTAAATATCTGCAATAAAATTGAAAATCTTTTAAGGTACTAATATTTCAATGATTTTGCCAAGGTGACAGTTTCTTTGTAAAAATCTTAAAATTCATAAAGTTGAGTCACATCAAAAATAATGAATTAGTAATCCAGACATTATCTTAGCATATAATTTACTTTGAAATACCTATTCAGTGAGAATAAATTTATAAAACAGGGAGTTTCTGCATAATACAGTAAATATTTTCTTCTAAACCTAGAAAAACTATATGATATGCAAATACGATGATACAATGAGAATTGACCTGAGTCAACTCTTCTCTGGTGTTATTTAAAGACAAAAACAAAAGCACCGGAAACCTATTAGAGAGGCTGACATAATATGAAACCATAGCCATAATTTAGTATACATGTATATGTCTAAGAGACTAATATATTTTAAATAAATCTGTAGTAAAAATATTTCCAGTTCAGAGGAATGGAAATGGTGACCCTAGATATAGAATCAAATTGGGAATATTCCAAAGAATGTACGATGATATACTGTACAATTTCACCCTAAGGCAGTGTTTTTCAGTACTGTTTTAAAAAGGAGCAGCAAATTTTAAAAAATGAATTATTCAGTTCTCAAAGATTTTCTGTGAATTCAGTTTCATTAAATACATTGGTAAGTGATAAACAGAAGAAAATTAGCCATATATGTATATTAACATTATTATGTCATATTTTTTATCATCTTGTGTGGTTCTTTTTTCCTACTATGTATTAGAAGAAAATGAACAGAATATGTCAAATGTCAATACTAAACCAAAGTGTTATGTTTTTCAAACAAAATTGGCATTTTGTTACAATAATGCAACAAAACTTTCTATGCATTTATAAATATGTTCCCCATTTTACTGAAATAAATTCTTAAATATCTAATGGATTTCTTCTTAGAGAAGTTAAATATTCATTTCTTTAAAATATGCAGCCTGCTGCTTAATAAATAGAGGTTTTATAACTGTGCTTTTGTTTATATATTTAAACGTATAATGTAAAATTTGTTATATATATATATAAAACGTGTGTGTGTGTGTGTGTGTGTGTGTGTGTGTGTGTGTGTAAAACAAATGTTGCATCTTATTCCGTGTTAAAACCAAGGGAGTCTTTAGGGATAAAGAGTTTAATCACATGAGGGAATTAAACTCTTTAGAGCTCTAGGGGACTATTGATTTAGATTGTGTTTTCATCTCTTTAAAAGACACCAATATGTCCTTACCAAAGATTATTTGTTGTCTGCTTTGATAAATATATGACCAGATTGGAGCTGAAACCTAAACTACCAGGGATCAATCACACATTGCATCATTCATCCTAAGCCATGCATTTGAAATTATCGTGTCCTTTTTTTTGACAAACAAGACTAAAAAAGACAAAAAAGACAAAAGCAGTGTTAAAATTCTCAATGTGTTTTCTAAGCCACAGAAGTTCTTATATTTTCCTAAATTTGCCACATCTCCAGACTCTTCTTGCCAAAATTATTTGTGTATGTATGTTTGTATGTATCTGTCTTTCTATTATCTTTCACTTGTCATCTATTTATCATTTGTAGATATTCATATAATAAAGGAATCTTTATTTTGTGGAATTATTTATTTGATATAAGGTTAATACTTTTTTTTAGGCAAAATTGTGTTATTATTTAAAAATAGTTAGAATTCTTTTTTTGTGAGACATATGTGTCACAAAAGCTTTGGACTATTTTCCAGTCTTTCCTTTTTCAACTATCTATTTAAGAATCACTTAATTCAACATTCAACAAATATTTTCAAGTGCATATCATATTTGAAACAAAGGGGATATTATATTGACCAGATGTTGATATGCTTCTTGCCCTATAAAGTTTATACTTTCATAGAAATGACAAATATCAAATATCAAACATTTAAGTATTATTACAATTTGGGATTCTACAGAAAAAGCTAAACACTTCTATAGGAAGTAGTGAAATATATGTAAGAATTTCTTGGTTTGAATGAAGAAAATATCATAGGTTTGGTTTTAGTTTTGATTTTGGACATGAATTTGAGTAAATTTTGAGACACTTAAAAGTAGAGAACAATTAGGAAGTGCAACATACATGCCTGAAACTCCAACACCCAAAGATAAATTTATGAATTTGAGAGTTATCTACATATAGATTAGAATTAAAGTTGTGAATGTGGGTGATACTGCCAACAGTAACAATGCAGAGTGAGAAAATAAAAGGTTAGAAGATGGAGGGACAAGTAACCCCAGTATTTTTTTAGTCCAGTAGAAGAGATTGAAATGTAAAAGAGTTTACAGATTAATGGTTTTAGGGGTGAAAAGTAAAATGCAGAATATTGCACCTGGAATTTCACACCCTTGGGACTGTGTTAGGATAAAGTTAAGTTTAAAATAGATCCAGAGCCTTTACCTAAGGTTTTTCTAATTCAGGTAATGTCAAATTAAACAGAACCAGAAGCAGCAATGAATGACAGAACTTATGGTTATAAATTAGCTAGAAGAGGTAATGAACTATGTAGAATGGTCTTTACATATGGAGATCATTTCATAAAGACAAAACAGGTTGGCACAGAATACACATTTTTAGAATCATAAATTTTGGATCAAAGAAAATATTTGAATAACCATGCTATTATGTGTGTTCACAGCCCTTAAAAAAGGTTTAGCCCTTAACCTCCATAAAAATATATGAATTCACACTTCAAATATAACATTCAAGGAAAGTACATATATGCTTATTTTTAAATGTAATGCAATCACTTCCATAGTACCTCATTTGAAACTCATTGCCGTTAACAACCCTAGCAAACAACTGAAGCAGGAAATAGAAATTTAATCTTCTGATATTTCTTTGTATATTTTTTCTCTGAAAACTGCATATTCTCTTACATTTACAATTGCTTGGTTCTATCATGTACATGAAAGGAAATGGTCTGTTTTTAAAGCAGTGGGGTTTTTTCATATTTTTCATTTTTGTTGGAAGATATGTTGCTGGTAAAATGAGAAAGCAGACAAACGTTGTGTGTCCCTTATAGAAGGCATCCCTTAAAGGGCTATTTGAGGGTGAATGAATTAATGGTAATTATTTTAATTTAGAATATCTCAGAGTCTTGATTATCAAATGATGTTGGTTCAATAGAAGTGCAATAAATTAGGTATGATTTTTTTCTATTGTTTAGTGTTTGGATTACAAATGTAAAAAAATTCTAATCACCATGATCAAATGTCTATGCTAACTGATTTAGATTTCACAGACAATAATTTTAATGATACTTTTTGAAAAAAATTCTCAAGAATATAGAACAGTGAAATAACAACTAAACTGAGTACATTCCCCAAATTATGCAGATCTCATATGCATTCATATAATTTTAACTTTAGAGCTATTCAAGAAATATAAATGTCTAACAGATAGAAGTGAGGAGAAATGGTGAGGATTGTCCGTTAATGCATCTATGTAATTTGAAAAAAATACTTTGAGCAATAAAAAAGGACGAGTTTATTTCAAATTATAAAACAATAAAATTTAAAAGTATGAAACAAAATGACTTGACAATTTTTCTCACATACCATGAGAGTAGCAATAGGTATTTGAAGAGGTGAATTGATTTTAACTGTTTATTCACATATAATTATTTAACAAAGCATTATTAAGTCTTTGGTGTAATTTTAGTTTTGGTATACTTTTAGTGGCTAAGAAATTGTCCAGAGTTCCTCCAAGTACATTCAGCATTCTGGCCCATGATGTGGAATACAGTTAGAACAATCAATGTGGGACAAAAACTTGCTTAAAATGTAAGCCTCCAGAACCCTATCACCAAAGGAATTTTCCTGCTTGCCTTCACTAAGCAGGTTAATTTTTTTTTTTTTTTTTGGACGGAGTCCCATTGTCGCCTAGTCTGGAGTGCAGTGGTGCGATCTCGGCTGACTGCAACCTCTGCCTCCCGGGTTCAAGGGATTTTCCTGCCTCCACCTCCTGAGTAGCTGGGACTACAGGCGCACACTACCAATCCCAGCTAATTTTTGTGTATTTTTTAGTAGACACGGGGTTTCACTATATTGGCCAGGCTGATCTCGAACTCCTGACCTCGTGATCCGCCCGCCTTGGCCTCCCAAAGTGCTGGGATTACAGGCGTGAGCCACTGTACCCGACCACAGGTTAATTCTTTTTTTTTTTTTTATAGTAACGATATTTATAATTGCCATAGGGTGACAGTCATACAAATTTGATTCTTAAAAAGACTAATAGAACTTCAAATAACAATACCTCTGAAGCTACAGTTTATTGCAGAAAAAGGATACAAGTCAACAATAGCATCAGAATAAAGATATACCTCATAGCCAAAAGTTGCCTCACAACAAAGGCTCAAAAAAGACTAGACACAGGCCTCTGTTGTCCTTCCTCTATGGGGCAATAACAAAAATGGCACACCCTTCTCTCTCAAATCAGGCACCAAGGATATATGCATGGAACACCTTGGAACTAGGAGGCCCATTATGATCCTCAGCCAGGACTTCTTATACTCTGCCCTCCCTTGTGCACTTTCTTGCTACATGACTAGCCCCAATGGTAGAGCTCTCTAGTGTTCTCACTAAAACTAGGTTCAAATTATGCATATCAATATTACCCATTAAAAAATGCTGACAAGCTAATACAAACTGCCCTAAGGTTTGCCTTGGACCCATGGTTTCAAAAATAAATTCTTATTAATCAACACACTACACAGCTTGTCTAGGAGACAATACCACATTAGTACATTGTTGATTTCAACAAACCAATTCAGGCTAATTTTAGACCTTCATATTAGAATAGTCATATCTTTTTTCTTCATTTTTATTTCTTTGATAGCAATATATTCAATATTTTACTGGGATATGTTGATATTCTAAAATACTTTGTATGTATTTTACATATAGATGGAGTTATACTTTAAGTACTCTTCCAGATGACAGAGTATTTAAATATATTTTAATAAGTTCAAACAAAAATTAGATAACAATAAGCCTGTTATGATGATTGTGGTAGAACAATTTGTGGCATTCACAAGTCATTGTCATCTCTTGTTTTTTAAGTTGCTTTTAATTGTAATCCATCTGATTTGGGTCTTTTATGTCACACTAAGGCAGGAGAACAGGGTCTGGAGACAGGGAGGCTTCACATCAGCTGCTGATTAATTGCAGACCTAGTCTTCATTTGCATAGGGTGTAATTTTGCTTCAGCCTGATTGGTCATGGGCCAAGTATTCACTTCAGCCTCTGATTGGTCACAGGCCAAGTGTTCATTTACATGGAGTATAATCAATACAAAACCTCTAAAGGGTACTTAAACTCCAGGAGATTTTGCAATTGGCCCTCTCCTGCTCTGTGGAGTGTACTTTCACTTCAATAAATCTATGTTTTTTCTTTTGTTGCTTTGTTTGTGCATTTTGTCCAGTTCTTTGTTCGACATGCTAAGAACCTGGATGACTGGTAGTTGAGACACTCCTCTGGTAACAATATTTTTTCTTATAATTAGCAAATTACGTGTTTTTACATGGCTTTATTTATTTGAAGGATTTAAATTATATTTTATATCACATTTGATAGAGTTCAATCCTAATTCAATTATTTTTCACAGAAGTAACTTAAAGTAATATATCCTTGTTTTACAACAATCGTTTCAAGTATTTCTGAGAGTACTGAAGTTGATAATATAGATTCTGCACAAATCAATGTTGTTTTCATTTACTCCTATTTATTATATAAAATAATACTCTGTTCCTTATGTTATCTTTTTAGTGCTTTAATTCATAATGTGTATTGAATATCCAGTATTTGGAAGATAATTTTTAATAGAGGAAGTGACAAACAAGTGTGAAGAGTTATAAATGGCATGGTCAATATCAGTGCAGGAAGCTAGAGAAAGTTTATTATTTTAAGTTTAAACTGTGAAATGAAAATTTAGGCCTGTGTTTAATTACAAATAGAGTCATAAAAGTGTTTTAGTCAGTGAATGTGGAGTACAAATTTTCTGAGAAGTATAACATGAACACAGATTTCTTGACTCAAGCTTGAATATGTGATAGCAAACAATATTTTATGCATAAAGTTTGAACTGAGGATTATGACAGGGCTTATAAGCTTTTTTAAACTGATTTTTATGTCCCTGGAAAATAGAGCTGTTCTTTTTCTTGTAGATTAAGTTATTGTCCACAATTCTCTTCTGCTTGTATCCACTCTTTCTGCCATGTAACTTTGCATTTCCTCCTTTTTAAGGCAAAATTTATTCCCTTGACTTTTCACTTTAAACTTAGCTATGTGGATTTCTCTTGTCTATAAAATATCTGTGAAAATAAAAGCATTAATTTTGAGCCGAGATTAAAGCTGGCCTCACATGTTTCTGCAGGCTCTTGCATGTATGCCATTGCCCTATGTAGCACATGTCTTTCCTAGCCCACTGGTCCAAGGCATATTAACGACTTATGCAGCTGACCCAGTGCTAACATGTCCCTTAGAGACACCCAGCAGAATGAAGCAGTGGGACCTCTGCAGCCTATCTATCTATAGACGTGTGAGATATACATATTATTAAAATATTCAAATTAGTTTCTTTTTTACGTAGTAATAGTTGGCTGATATATGTTTTTATCCTTTGATTTCTTCTTCACAAAGCCTTAACACTTTTTAAAGTTGGCACCCAAAATGGATGGACTAGGGATAAGGAAGATAGAGGTGGGCAAGTCTGCAAATGCCAAGTAGTTTTTATAAACTATGATATGAGGAGTCAACATTATTGAATGTGAAAATATATACCAATGATTTTCTTTGTTTCCATTATTTTCTTTCCCTATAAGAACCAGACTAATCTTATTAAAACAAAAAAGGATTTCTATTGCAATCAAAATAAAATCTCAAATCATTACTGTTCTCTAATATGCCACTCTACATGGCCTGGCCCATGCCATCTTCTCAAGCCTCATCTTAATCCAAACTTTCCCACATTGATTATTCCTCCAACTATACCAATCTTATACCAATCTTGTTAAAGTCTATTGTATCATAATTTAATCTCCCTTGCTATCCCTCATTTTGCATCATCCTCACTATCCCTGAATAACTTTGTTTTTCTGGATATTAGTGTATTAGTGTTTTGTTAAAGATTATTAAATGGTTCACTCTAATCATCCTTCAAGTCTCAGCTCAAGTGCAATTCATCGTAGAGTTCTTCTTAACCACAAAGAATAAATTAAGCTCTCCAATCTTAGTCACTATTTCCCACTAACTTTCTATCGCTTATCATTCTTTGATAACTATAATATTTGTTTGATTACTTTCCTGCTATTCCCTTCTACCTGACATGTAATTTATGAAAGCAGAACTCTTAGCTATAGTGTTTGTATTCATAGCTGTAGCCTTAGAACTTAGAGTTTTGACTAAAATAGAGTAAATGCTCAGAAAATGCGATAAACCCATTGAGCAGCTTTCCATCTCCCCCTCGCCACCATCCCCTGAATGTCGTTCAATGGGTACAAGCTTAGAGTTATACAAGATGAATAACTTCCAAATATCCTCCGTGCAGCCTAGTACCTATAGGTAACAATACAGTGTTGCACACTTATAACTTTGTTAATAGGACAGATTTATTATTAAATATTCTTATCACATACAAAACAAAAGCAAAAGGTCACAAGAAAACTTTTAGAAGTGATGAATATGTTTATTACCTTGATCATGGTGATGGTAACACAGGTGTATGAATATGTCCATCTCACTTCATATACGTTATGTAAAGTTTTTTGAATATGAATTATACCTGAACAATGCTGTAAAACTGTGTTAAACCAAAAAGTAAATAAATTGGAAAAGATTAGTTGATAATATCTATGTTATATCTCATTTTAGTGACGTTAGTTGTTAAGTTCCAAGGGGGTTAACCGACTATTTCAATGTCACCCGAATAGCAAATGGCCAAGTTGGACATTTAACCCAAATTGCTCTGACTTGTGGATTATGACACTTCCATGAACACTGTACACGAAACTTTCATAAACACTAAATAGGCACTCTAGGCTAACCAAGCTCAGATGCCTATGCTTCTGGTTTCATAGAAGTACATGAAAAGTTTTAGAAGAGTTTTATTTCGTGGAGAGTTTATTTCTAAGGTGATTCATCTAGATGGATATAATGTTAAAATACCACAGTAGATATCAATATTCAATTGAATTTCATGTGACCAAAAGCTATTTAATTTGTAATTAATAAAGCACAAAAAAGAAAACTATGTTGGGAGTATAAAAATGTCTAGCTATGCCATATTTAGGTATCTAGTGGCATATCATTTATGGAGATGAAGTTAAGGAATTCAGTGCAATAATCAGACAGACATTTAAATTGTTCCTTTTTTTCATTTGGAATCTGTCACCAGGTATCTTAGTAGGTTGGGTTAAGTACAACAATTAGAATAAGTCTGCAATTCTTTTAAAATTAAAAAATCTAAGTAGAGAGATCACTTGGAATTAAAAATATGGCTTTCTATGCTTATCCAATTTGTCATCTTTCATTTTCTATACAGAAATCTTGAATTAGCAAAAGTTTTAATAACACTGAAGAAAAAACATCAAATGCATATTGGATACGTTGTTTCCTACGTAAGCTATCAGATTTTTATTTTCTAACTAATGACTTGCATATTATCCCACCTTTTCTTCAAATACTCCATAGTTTAAAAACTAATTTGTTTCAGTTTACACTCAGTCTTAACTAAACCATTCTGAGACCCCAGTAAAGGGGTTAAACTTCAACATATTTCTATTTATGCCTTAATCCACTTTTTAATATCAAGTCCAACTCCTTTAACTTCAAGGCATCTCACTTCTCTTTTTAACCCTTCATCACTATACCATCAATCTTAGATTGATGTAACTGTAAAACATTCTTTTCCAGTGAAATTAATAGACTGGCTTTCTCCAAAAGAGCCTTATTGTTTTTATTCTGTTTTATAACAAACCTGATCTAGTCCCATTATCCCCAACAGTGTCCCTAAATTTCTATGTGTTCCAGCTCAAAACCCACTCCTCCCAGAAAGGCAACTCTCTGTCTTCTTCTCTTCTCTGAAACCAAACACAGAAATTTAGGAAACAGAATTTATATTCAATGAAATCAGAAAATACCTATAAATGAAAAAACAAATGAAATCTAACATGATGAAATTCTGATAGAAGCAGAGAAAATTGACCAGAGAGAAACAATAACCAAGAAGTAATAGATCCTAGGTAACATCAACAAAACACTGAAACTTGTAACTAAAGGGGCATATCCTGAGGAACAGAGTCAGTGATCCCTTGTTTAGAACATGAGTTAGCTGTGGAAGCCTCTCAGAACCCTGTTAACCTCACATAATGGCAGGATAACAAGGAATAAACAAGAAACTTTGCAGAAGCCTTGTCTTTGCAAAGAGCATTTCAGCAGGTGTCAGTTACCCACCCTCAGATATCTGTCAAGTTAAGCAAACTAAAAGGTGACTCCCCCACTCAAATAAGTTACTCTCATTTGCAAAACTCTTGCGAACACTACAGGGAGTTATATATGGAATGAGTCTGTGAAACTTTGAAAAAATCCCTGAGAATTCCCCTGTCACTTCCACCATTCTCTTCCACCTGGAGCACATCCAAGAAAAAATTCCTACTTCCAATTGTAAATATTAATTTTATAGAAGGAATTAGAAAACAAAAAAATTGACAGAAACATTTTAAAGGAATAAAATATGAAGTGCATAAAAACAAAATAAATGCTACAGAGATTTTTAAAAATGTGAAAAAAAATAAAATTTCCATGGATCTAAGTGAATAAAATTGGAATACTGGAATCAAGAGCAAAAGAAGTAAAAATAATAAAAAGCAGTAAACATTAAAAGTTATAAAAAGAAAATAAATAAATTTTGAGCATTGAAAAAAATGTGTAGAAGAAAAATAAGACCATTCATAGAAATAAAGCTGTTATTAGAACAAATAACAGAGAAGGGACACTGTTGATGAATTATTGCCAGGAAATAGAAGGAAGCCTTGAGAAAAGTGAGCAATGTAAAACTAAAAAGTTAAAGTAATTTAAAAATATCTATCAGTAAATTATAGATACAGGGAACTGTTCAAATAAATGCACTATACAGGTAATAGTGTTACTGAAAATAAATGAATAAACAGAATAAAAATATTTAAAATATATTTTGTTAGATATTTTCTAAGTAAACAAGACTTGAATTTCGAGATAAAAAAGAACACATCGTGTCCTAAGATATTTTAATAAAAATGCATATTAATTGGTCAATACTGAGACATAAGCAGGTAAATTAACTGGGCAATGTTTGTACATAGAAAAAAGGCAATAAAGAATAAAAAGTCATTGTTAATAGGAAAATATTGGAATAATCTCAGCCTTCTTCAAAACAAGATTAAAAGTGAGAAGAAAATGAAATAATATCTATCAAGTCCTCAGGAATCTTTGGTATGATCCAATAAGTTTATATTCTATTAAACTTATATTCACTTATAAAGTGAAACATACTGTCAAATATGCATAAACTCTAAGAAAGTATCACTAATAAAAAGATTTTAGAGATTGAAGTTTTAGCCAAGTGGTAGAAAAGTAGTGAGGTTGTGATAAAAAAACTGACAGTATGTTTTGAATCCATAAGATAGAGACCCAAGACTTAAACCGTCAAATAATAATTGTTACAGATTTGTATCATATCATGATGATGTTGAAATAATAATATAATAACATAGGTCAGAATATGCAATTCTAGAGAAGGTGAGCATTCATATTAGTATGTGGGTTTTAACATAAATAATACAATATTGTGAAGGTAACTATTATTTTCATAGGATCCTTAGGGTGAAGCTTCACCAGCCAGAAAACTCTGTGGCTGGCAGTGCCTTCTGCCTAGTATTGCTCACACCCTCTGGGTTTGTTTTGCCCACTCAGCCTGGCAGGCTGTGCTCAGCTTTCCCTACCAGTCCAGATCCCACACTTGCCAAGGGCAAGCCAGGAATGGAATGGCAAGGGGTGTGTGGGTGAGAGAGCATGAGGTCTGGCCACTGTGCATAGCCAGGCAGTCTGGCTGTAGCAGCAGGGCAGGCAGCTCCAGGTGCTGGCACAGGTGCTGGCTCCATGCAAGGCTTTGGTTGAACCAGATGTACTGCATGCAGCTTCTGCTGTGGACACCCATATCTGGCCAAGGGGAACACCATTGTGCCTGGAAGCTTGGAGACACCAGGAATCATAGAGCCCCAAAGAGGATGTCACAGCCTTGGCTCAGGGAGCCTCTAGGTCTGGGCTCCCCAAAGAACCACAGCTCTTCTCTCCTTCTCATCACCACAACATGGCGAGCAGAGGGGCATGTTTCAGCCCTGTTTGTGTTACAGCTTTTTCGGTCCTGCAATTTGGCAGGTCCCAAGTTCTTGTCCTACATCCAGGAAGAATGAGGTATATGGACAACTGGAGGGTAAGCAAGGCAGAGAATAGCTTCATTGAATGACAGAACAGCTCCCAGGAGACCTGAAGTGGGTAGCTCCTTTCCACAGGCAGATCATCCTGACGTCTGTGCAGCTCTCAGTGGAGAGGAAACCTGGATGGGTAGGTCCTATCTGCAGGCAGGTTGTCCTGACATCTGTTTGAGTCTGACTGAGTCTGACTGAGTCTGGGGTTTTTTATGGGCTCAGAAGAGAGGAAGTGTGTGCTGATTGGTCCATGGGAAGGCATGGGTGGACTCAGACAAAGCACAATATGTTCTCACTTAAGTCCAAAGTCTTCATCTGGAACTGACAGCCTGGCCTTCATACTTTAGGCCATCCCTGGATTGAAGGTAGGGCTTCAGGGTAGACCTGCCCCTTTCTACCCAGGAGCCTGTATGCCTCCTGCCATTGTCAATCATGTCGACCATGGCTGTTCGTGCCAAGGGGTGCCTGCAAGTCTGTGCCAAGCTTCCCTCAGTCCCACCTTGGCCTCCCTCCTGTGCTCCTTGGAGCCCAAAGTCCAGAAGGGGCCGAGGCAGCAGGGGGCTGGTGTGTCAGCACCACTCCAAGCATTTGCAAACCCAGCTGAGTTGTGACAGCACCCAGGCTTGGCCTCAACTTTGCTCCAAAATCAGAGTGCCACCCAGCAGGAGCAGGCACTACTGTCTGTGGGGACAGGAGGACTTCCTTGGCCCTGGAGAGTGCAGTGATGTCTGGGCCTACAGCTGCAAGTGGGCAGCTGTAGCTGCACCTAGGAAGGTGGGGTTCCCACCCCAGCAACTTGGAAGCGGGTGGAGCTCCCTCCTGTTCCTGGCTCCTGCCAGCTCTGTGGAGTGTGCAGCCCAGGTTGCACCTCCCCTGCTGTAGCTGGCATCTTCACAGCGGCTGCTCCAGAAGGGCCGCCACTGCCATCACTATAACAATTTGAAATAGTCTTCCAAAAGTCAGAAGAGCACACACATAAGTACATGTGCACTCATATGCATACATACACTAAGGAGGAAAACTACAGAAAAAAGTACTAGTTTTATTATTGGGAACACAGAACAATTTGAATTTGTATGTCACCCTGAGTAAAACCAAGATGGATAGAGAAATATGTTGGCAGGGGGAAAGGTGCACAGAAAACATGGTGTTATTTCCTCTGGAGAAGGTTATTGGAATCTGGAGCTCAGGAGGTGGAAAAAGACAGATAATTCACTAAACACTTTAAAATAGTTTTGCATTTTTAGTGTAGTTACGACAGATTAAATATTAATCCATTGAAAAAAGGTTTCTTAAATTTCCTCTAGATACCTTATAGTTTCTCAGGAGTGCTTTTTCTTCCATAATCTGCAAGTGCAGAGCTTGCTAAAAAATAGAAGCATAATGAATCTTTATAGTAAAAACCACATTGTAATGTTTTTTATTGATTTATTTGACTTTTTTCAAGTAAATAATTATAGAACGTAGGTGATGCAATATTTTCAAAACTTTAAATGTATTGTTTACTTCATGCTATTGTTTAAACTAAAATAAGCAAATATATTCATTACTCATCAACCTCCTGAAGCAGGTGTCCCTGAAGTCTCTACAGTTTTCTGTTCTGGAGTGATTTAAGTTTACGTTGGTTTAAGTATGTAAATGTTTTTCCCCATAATTTGTCAAAATATGTATTCATTAAAAGATTAATAGTTCAAGCAATACTGTCTCATTAAAAGTTTTCAAGGAAAACTATATTAAAATAGGTTCTGATCTTCAAGGGTTTCACAAAACTGGTCATTCCATTCAGAAAAATCCAAGATGTGTTTATACTGGATGTGTACAAAAAGCAGTTATTGCCTTGTGAATTTGAGTCAAGTCTGTTGTATCTTTAAAATTATAACTTATAGTTGCCATATACTCTCTAAATAAGTGTCACTTGTATAGTGAAAGAAATTCTAGGTGGTTTTCATACACACAAATAAGATTTGGGAACAGGATTATAGATTATCATTTAGGGTAACTGAAGATAACCCATCCAGACTTTCTTGATAAGAGCAAATAAGATTACTTTAAATTTCTAATTTAGAAATAAATTTATGCCTCAGCTGCCTTATGATGATGTAGAAATAATAATTTGCTCTGAGTCATAAAAATATTAACATTAAATTATTTTGTGAAAATATTTGCTTTTGGCATATCATGTAATTTTTTTTACATATGAGGGCATAACATAATATATTCATCTCTTCCAGGTTTTAAAATCTCTTATCTTTCTTTACAATTTTGAAAAATGAAAACAATCTATTCATTTATCTATTTATCAAATTATAAGCCTTATACCTCTTTAATCAGTATGTAACATTTTGGTAGAAATAAAATTTGAGTTATAAATTTTATTCTGTAAATACATTCATCATATTTTTCTCAATAAGCAGTCTAATAATATATCATAAACAAATCATATAAAGAATTTTACTTTTGCTCATATTTATCAGTACTAGCATCAAAGTAACTAAGGTAAATTAAATTGTTCTCAAAAAAGGATAAGAATTGTACTTGCCTATTGCATGTATTGAGTGTAACTTAGAGAATAAATTTCTAACATTTTAATATGAACCTCATATGGTCAGAAAAATGGATATAAAATGACATTCTTAAATTTGAGGTTAATGAGGCT
This sequence comes from Homo sapiens, assembly GCF_000001405.40. NCBI lineage: Eukaryota > Metazoa > Chordata > Mammalia > Primates > Hominidae > Homo > Homo sapiens. The sequence continues at coordinate 103,142,648 of NC_000006.12, forward strand.
GTAGTAATTCCTATTATAAGTATTGATTTCCAAACAAACTGAGAAACATAATTATTTATCATGTGAAAATATCGTATTATCTGCCTCCTGAGCAAGCTGAAAAATAAGCTAAATTTCAAATAATTGCTAATATTTTGTAAAACATAAAGGTAGTTTTTGTTTTTACTGCGAAGAGATACATTTCTCAATTGCTTCTGTAATTTGAGCATGTATTACCATCGGTCTGATATCCATCCTCTAAAATGTACATGCCTTAATCCAGTGAATTTAATGTGTATTTTACCAGCTTTATAATGTGGATGCCCTCTTTAGAACTGAAGCTAGGTCACATACAATTATATTATAGAATGCAGCTGCTCTACACTCCCCTCATTAATGAGCAGACCTAATATCTTCTCCTTCTCTTATGGTGGCCATGACTTAAAATGTCCTTGCCTGGAGGAAAAATAAGCCTATCGAATCCGTTTATACATTTATTAGTTGAAAGCCTCTTTTAGGACACATAGAAGTTGTCTATCTATATTGAATTAATTACCCACATGTTATCTACATTCAAGACAGGTTGGTTCTGGGTTAACTTAGTGCCCTTCTGAGCAGCTTGCATTGATTCACATAATTTTACCAAAAACAATTGTGTCATTTTGCCCCCTTTTTCTCTTTCTCACTAAAAAGATTTCTTTCATGCTTAACAACATAAATTCCATTTATTTCAGTCTTTGTTAATGGTTAAGAAAGAAAGACAGACAAAACACACTTAACTTTAAAAAAATATATATCTTATGATATTCAAAACACTGTTAATCAGAAACATGGAAATTAACACAGAAATGATATGCAACTCACTAATCTTATTTTTTAAAACAAAGCTTATGGTGAAATAGGTAATGCCATATCTTGTTATTGAGAATGAATATTCATATTTTCTTTTGGTGGAGAACAACCTATAAATAATCAAACAAGTTTTTAATGTGCCTAATCATTGTGCTAGCATTTCCAATTCTAATATTCTATCATAAAAGTCATCACCAAAAAGATAAACATCAAGTGATTCACTGGACTATTGATTATAATTTTAAAAAATGAAAATAGTGTTTATTATATCATTGTTTAATATAATAACCACTTTTATATCAGTGTTAATATAAAAGTAGACAAAATTATTTTATATACTAAAAGTTTATAGATACGAAAGAGCTCTAAGATAAGGTACAAAATAATTTTCAGATATAGGTGTAGTATTATTTCTGGGGATAGGAATTTAATTGGTGAATTTTTGTTTTTTATAGATGAAAGTTAGTGTTGAAATACATATGTGTCCATGTAATTTTACATTTGTCACAATGAATAAATATCAAGGTAAAATTTTAATCAAACAGTTGAAAAAATAAAATAGGAGCTTATTTAAAAACAGTTTTGGCCCCAAACATAGTTTATACATTTATAAAAGAGGGTGATTTGAATGTTTTGTAATAAGTGTTTTGATGGTAATTTTTTATGTTTAAGTTTATTACAATAAAAAGCCAAAATTTCACCTAACAGAAATCCACTTTGGAGTAGTAGCGATATATGGTACAGGTCTTAATACACATATATTTACATGTATTCTTATTATTATATGGAAAAGCAACTCTTAATTTCTTTCTTCTTTAATTATACCATAATTTGTTTTAAATCATAAAAATATTATTAAAATATTTTGTAAAAATTGATGTGTTGGTATATTATTTAATTTTTTACATATGAGGGCATAACATATTATATGTATCTCTCCCTGGCTTTAAAATCTCTCATCTTTCAATTCTCTGGAACAATTTTGAAAATTAAAAATGATCTAGCTTCTTATCTATTTATGAAATTATAAGCCTTCATATCTCTTCAATCAATACATAACTGTATTAGTCCTTTTTCACACTGCTAATAAAGACATACCTGAGACTGGGCAATTTACAAGAGAAAGAAGTTTAATGGACTTACAGGTCCACATGGGTGGGGATGCCTCACAATCATGGCAGAAGGCAAGGAGGAGCAAGTCATGTCTTACATGGATGACATGTAAGTTCCTCATCTGCATCTGTGACCACTTCAGCCTGGATTTAATTGTTCACATCATTATCAGCATTTTGGTCAAAGCCATTCAATAAGTCTCTAAGGAATTCCAAACTTTCCCACATTTTCCTATCTTCTTCTGAGCCCTCCAAACTGTTCCAACCTCTGCCTGTTACCCAGTTCAAAAGCCGCTTCCGCATTTTTGGGTATATTTCCAGCAGCACCCACTCTACTGGTACCAGTTTCTGTATTAGTCCATTTTCACGCTGCTGATAAAGACACAGACAAGGCTGATCAATTTATAAAAGAAAGAGGTTTAATGAACTTACAGTTCCCAGTGGCTAAGGAAACCTCAAATGAAATTTGAGGTCTAAATTTTATTTTTTCTGTAAATACATTCATAACTATCACTTTTTCTCAATAAGTAGTGTAATAATAAAGTATTATAAATCATTATAAAGGATGTTTTTCTGCTCAGAGTTACCAGTGCTAAGTTGTTCTCAGAGAAGAGTAAGAATTGTACCTGCCTATTTCATAAATTGAGTGTAACTTAAAATTATATTTTTAATGTATGGTATTACAGAGAATTTAAAAGATAAAGTCATTAGGATTCCAATTATAGGTTCATTTCTAACTATTTTTTTGTTTTATTTTATTTTATTTCATTGCAGTAGACTAATACATTTGGTCTCTTATTCTGTTTTTGTTACACTGTGATTTCACAATTGCCAAGAGAATGAATTAATTCTCTGTAGTTTTTCTTTCTTTAGAAGAATGCATTATTAAAGAACTTTATACTGTTACAGCTTATTGCAGTGAGTGTTTCAGTTGGTCTGCCAAAGATGTTATCACAATCCAAAGACACTCAGCACATTTTGGAGAAAATAATTAGAATAAAGATAATGGTATAAATTTTATCTATTCTTTTAACCTATATTCTACTATGGCAGTCATTCCTTGCAAGGAAAAAGATATTCTAATACTACATACTTATTTCCAAACATGTCTGATATATTATTATTGAAAGTATTTTGTAATTCGTCTATAAGCACCATGTTAGGCTTAAGAAAATACCTTAAGGTTTTATTTTGTATAAATCAATATTTCATCAATATGATATGCTTATATCATTTCATTTTACATTTTTACTAGATTTAAGTTCACATATATACCATTATTCTTTAAGTGACATATGCCATAGGAAGCAATAAAAAGGCCGAAATACCTTCCATGTTTTTATATTTAATTTTTTGTATTCAGAATTAAAATACATTGATTTTGAAATTATATTGTATAACACAATGGGCTGGTCATGACATTTGCAGTTTGACATAAATCATCTTTATTGTTTTTCTAATATTCTATATTGAAAGTTGTCATCAATGGCAAAAGATTTTGTAATTTAATCAATATTGTGAATACATATATTTTAAAACTAATTTTATCAATTGATATTCTTTACAAAATGTTAATCATTTGCTTGCTTTAGGGGCCAAAAGATATATTGAATTTCCATTACTATATTATTTTTCTTTCAACATTGATTTAATTAATAGCATAATGATAAAATTAGACTAAAAATTATATAGTTTAGATAAGCTGCTTTCAGAACTGAATCTTTGCTCACATTCTATATTATATGAATTATGACAACAGTATTTTCAATTTGATGTTTAGTAACCATCAGTTTTCAGAAAGAATAGTTGTAAAGTTTGAGATTATAAAAAATTGATAATGCGGATATTAATGCTGTAGCTTCATTGATTTCCATGCTTAAAGAATGTTCACAAAGAATACAGAGATCCTTAGAATATTTTGGAGGATCTTTTGTTGCAATATGAGATATTTTTATGCATATCTGTGGCAATTTCGTATTCATAGCATCTCACAGTATTTTTCCTAGGGGCAATATTTGTAGGTTAACTATGTTATCCTCCCCAGCTTTGCTATCTTCTGTACAAATCCTGTAGTGTACCTCACAAAGTGTTCACTAATGGAAATATTTGCATTTGAGAAAACTACTAATCCAATAAGAATTGTTATCTGTCCTATGTGGCTCTTCTTTGGAGTTACAACTAAAGTAATTGAATAATAATTAGTAAATGGTTTTTCTCCTTATATCTGCTATAATACCAAATATTTGGTTTGTATCAATCATCTTAAAATATATACTATTATTCTTTGCTGTAGATGTTTATATCCTGAATAAATGTCCTATTAGAATACTATAAAATTTTGATGGTGGCTGTCAAATAAATAATATTCTCATTAGCACACATTAACTTTCTGAGGTGATCATCTGAACGTTAGATATCACTATTCCAAAATTATAATTGACAATGCTATGAGTTCAACAATAGCACACCATGTTTTCTCATTTTTATCATCTATATTTTCTGCTTATTTTCATACCAGATGTCAATTCTTGCTTCTTATTTATATTATTCACTATGTATATGCATTTTACTTTCTTAGTGTTTGAGATAAATATATAACTGTTGCCAATTTTCTCATACATAGTTTTTTCTCATTTGAAACATATGCTTCTTGAAAAGAATATGAAAGGACATTAAGAATTGCATGATGCATCAAGTGATCATCCATTCATACATTATCTGCAGCAAAATGGTTGTTCTCTTCTATTATCCCTTTTCCCCAAATTTATTTTAACTCAAAGATTTAGTGTTTGTTCATATTCTTACATTTCTATGAAATGCTTATATTTCTCTTTGATGTATCATTATTTTCATGTTTGCTTGAAAATAAGACTGTTCTCCTAAGTGAGCAAGCTTACATATGTCACAAAGGGTGAGTCAGATGACCAGAAAAAATAAACCTGAATGCAGTGTCCAATGTAAGCCTTCCCTCTAATCTAACTCCTGCTCTTACTATTGTGTATGCAAGAAGGGCTGCTCTTTCTAGTCTTTCTAGGAAATAAGATATGCTTAGATAAGTAAGGACAAGATCTTTAGAATGGGTGTGCAATGTTGGAGGGGAAATATTACTGGTATTATGATACACTAGAGTCTTCCTTGAGGTCAAATACACATAAAGAGCAGTAGAACAATGAGAATACACCTATTCTGCCTCCTCCTCCTCCTCAATAGGGAAAGAGTATATAATGCTTTTTTACTTTCACTCTCAACTGGCCTAACAGATTGGGGATAAGGATGGGGGTTGGATGATTGAGATCATATGCATGTCTCATTGGGAGGCCTACAGTCCCAACTTTTTAAAAGGAGTAACTTTCATATCTTAGCATAATATCTTTGGCATAGCTTCCTTCCTGTTGAAAATTAACTTCTAGGTCATCTGTCAACCATACATAATAATAGTATATGGAATGGATACAAGTTTTATGGAGTTTAAGATTTTTATATCCAGGCATACGCTTTTTTTTAAAAGCATACAATTATGAAAACAAAAAGTAATAATAAACAGCTTTGGCATTGAACAAAATAAATATATCTGAATAAGTCAAATTAAATGTATTCCCAAATGTGACTTTTTTTGGCTAGATCTAAAAAATGCCACAGCTTCTATGATTCTTCCCCAATTGATGATAGAACATACCAGGAGAAAACATAAGTGGATCAACAATTTTAACTTACAGCAGTAAAGATGTATTTTGTTTGCAAATTTTTCAAAATTGTATAACCATATGACATGTTACTAGGATTTGTCTCAAGACTTTAGTGGGTCTTATAAGTTACGAACACTAAGTCTTAAACTTCATTAGATCATAGTGAATATGAATTGATGATCATATATATTTCACTTATTTTCCTGTATTTGGTTTTATTATAGGTGATAAAGGAAGCATGGGTGACAAGGTTTATAAGGTTTGTATCTTTATTGATAAGGAGCCCTTATAGTTAAATATAAAATTGAGTACGAGAAAAGAAAATTAAATTCACAAAATAACAAAAAAATAAATACAACTTAGTCTAACTGATAGATATCAACAAAACACATCATTAAAATTTCAAAAACTTATTTAAAAAACAAGAAAAAATGAGAATGGCATTGTTTAAGATGTGCTGTATTAGCAAGTTAGTTGATATTAGTGTAAAATGATTCCAGCTTTCTAATGGAGAATCTGCCTGCATGTAAAGAGCTTTAAATTGTTCATGCACTTTAATATACTGATAACCTTTCTAATAATTTATCTTAAAGAAATAGTCTGAGATAAATACAACCAATTTTATACTAGCTTTTCTAACGTAACATTGTCTGCTATAGTGAGTGACTGCACAAAACTAAATGTGACATATAATAGAATTATTTAATTTTATGTATATATTCATATAATGATGCAGTTATGGGAAATAATGTTTGTAAAACATTTCTACTATAATATGATCTGAAATAAAAATCTGTGCATAAAATATTATCTTTGTTATATATCTGAATAGATGATTTATTTTATTCCTTTTTTTCAACATCTTGGTTTAATTCTCTATGACAGATTGATATTTAAAGAAAAAAGACCCTATAAAGATTTCCTTGAAATATTAGCAATAGATAAATGTATATGTATTTAATAAGTAATTCATTTCTTATTATAATAAATAAGTGAAGAATATATTGTAATATCATAATTTTTACAATTTTGAAGCTTTCTGAAATGAACAATAGGCAGGTATATTTCCTAAGATATCTCATTATCTTGATATCAGTTATCTATTCATTAAAGATACGGATTAATGTAATCTATTCCTTAAATACAATGAATGTAATCACACTTAAAAATGGATGGGTTAATGTAATCAATTTTTTACAAATTTAAATTATGCAAAATGTGGTTTTTAACATCCTCTACTGCCTCGTGTTCTTTATGTATAATAATGATAGTAAGAAGCATTTTGAGCAATTTAATGTGCACTAAGCACTTTACCAAATCCAGATACTTAACACATTTCTAACTCACCTAACAACCTTGATGTCAACTTTCTGACAAGGAGGCTGAGGTTCTGAAAGATTAAGTAATCTAGCTAAGATGAAATAGATAGTATGAGCAACATCAAGGTTTTAAGCTCAGGTCTTGTTGATCCTAATTTGTGTGCTTCCTCCACTTCACAGTGTCTCACAAATTATCAATAAGGCAGGGGCTTTTCACTAATATTTATGTGTGAGACTTCTTACATACTCATGCAGCTTGTGAGATAAGCTGGCACAAAATAACAATCTTGTATAGGCATTTTGATCTAATTTGATCAGAGTTATTTATTTGAATATATAAAAATATGTAATTGACAACATTGCATCAGGTAAATGTTATGGATATTATAGACACACAAATGATATATTGCAATCCGTTTCCCTTAAGAGATGTAGGTAATTTCGAAAGGGGCAAGAAACTGATGAGATCAAATGTGCGCTTCTAGATCAAATGCGTTTATATACAGCCCATTTGCTTTGGTGCAAGAGTTTGGATATTAATTTTAATAATAAGTTTAACCTTTGTTCATGTCTCAAACCATGCTAGGAAACAGTTCTACGTGTTTTATTTTATAATATAACTTAAAATTTTACTCCTGAACTTATTTCAATTTTGTGTCATTTCTGTACATTTGCCCAATGGCCTTCAGAAATTGGCATATTTACAGTGAATAAATGGATAAAATTTGGGTGATATTTTTCTAGGAGATGCATAGTTTAGATTTAGTGACATTCAACTCAGATCAAATTATATGCTATAGTAGAATTCATGTATACAAATTATGTACAGTGACACAATTAACTTAGAATTGAATGCTCATTATCCTGCTGTTTTGCTCCATTTTTGTCCATATGTCCAAAAAAAATCTAATATAAATGCAATTACTTTCCAGGAGGAAATAAATGTCAGCAACTCAATAGTCAAAAAGGCAACAATCACAATGCTAGATGACCAAAGCAATAACTTTCTGAAGACAACAGGTAAACAATTAACCCTGAAGCAAGATCTTCAGATTATTCAAGGAAATCTTAGATCAATGCAGAAGAGTTGCAGTGTGACTTTACAAAGTAAATACAAAAATATAAAATCATTCTTGTTTGTGCTGGCTATATGCTTTTATTAGCATCTATTCAGCCCCTCAATGTAATGACAATTACCTAATAGGCAAGTATCTCTTCCAAATTAAAAAAGAAAAGATAGGACTTAGGAAAGCCTATCTCCTAAGTCGATGTTATGAGTGTTCATTCTTCTATTTTTGTGATAATTAGATCTTTATTTGTTTACAGAGAAAGTGAATTCCTCCATAGGATAATGGACCATTATTATATACATTTCTCAGTTTCCAACTGAAAAGAGATGCTAAACTCAATGACAAAACATGATAATGAATGTCAAAACTTTCCTAAATAGCTGAAACCACTTTGTAAAACTAAACTTTTATTTGTAATGATTACTAAAATTATAAAATAAACATACCTGCACACACAGGAGTCCATGACAGAGTTCCGTTTAGCAGCAAAAAGAACAGTCACTATAAGCAAAATATCAAGAGATTTTATATGCACTTGGCAGTAGTCTCGTAAGAAGATTTATTAGATCTATAAAATTTTAGAACACAGGAGACTTTAGAATTTCTAGAATACAAGCTAATTATTTCATAGCCTAAAAAAGCAAAAGTACCACAAAAACACATACACAAAAACACAGTTGAGCATAGCCATGACTTTTGAGATTAGATTGTAAAGTTAAGCCTCCAAAGATTACACAAATGCAGGGATAGACACTATGGCTCCTTTTATAGCCTTCTTTTCTGCTTCCATTTACATATAAAAATACATTAAATGTAATGCCTTTAGAATCTAACATATATTTCAAAATACACAAACAAACGTCAAAATAGGAAAAAAGTTGTGGAGTATAACTTTCCATTTCTGATCCAGAAAGAATAATTCTATACCCTCTTCAAAATAACACAAATTAGAATGTTTCAACTTAATGAATACAACTTCCTTTTCTAATACAAATATACTTAAAAGAATTGCAGTATATATTCAGAATGTAATACTATTCAGTCATAAGAAAAGGAAGTTCTGTCATTTGAGACAATATGGATAAACCTGAATGACATTATGTTAAGTGAAATAAGGCAGGCACAGAAAAATAAATATCACATGATCTTATTCATGGAATCTAAAAAAGCTAATCTCATAGAAGTAGAGAGTAGTATGTTGATTACCAGGAACTGGGAACGTGGTGGTGGAAAGATGTTGGCCAAATGATGCAGAATTTCAGTTAGATAGGAGATACAATTTCAAGAGATATATTCATGGTAACTGTAGTTAGCAATACATCATCTTGAAAAATGCTAAGAATGGATGTAAAAGTATTCTCATCACAAAAAATGATAACAAGTGAGGTAAGGCATTGTTGTGCCAAACCCCTGTCAACTCCAGTGGGGATGGCAGTAGGTCCAAGGGACTGAAGAAGAGATCCATAGCAGCAAAGAGACATAGGGTTTTACTGAGGGGCTTATATACAGGGGAAAATGTCCAGTGGTGGTTGGCTGGGCAGGAAAACTCAACTGCTTGCAAAAAGCATGCAATTTATACAGCATTTTTACTTAGCACCCCACCCCCACAAACAACCTCCACCTGGCAATCCTCATTCAACCCAAAACTCTGGGCTTTGATCCCCCTGTACAGCTTATGTTCCAGGGGAGGGGTCAGGGGTTCAGATGTTCCCTGTAGAAAAGGAACGAACCTCTAAGTGGGCCACTCTCAAATTTCCTATCTCAGGACACACATTCAGGTGTCTTCCATACAGGATCATTCTCAGGGTATGCTTAACTTATTGCTGTGAGGTGCATTGACCCTACATGGATGTATTAATTAGCTATATTTATTCATTCCATAATGTATATACTCCATGATGTATACAATAAATACATACAATTTAATTTGTCAATTTAAAAAAATACAAATACAAATATTGGAGATAAAAAGAAGAAAAAGTACTTTCCTCTACTTCTTCTCCTCTCGTTTCCATTTAATAGTAGAAACTACAGAAAGTGGCTAGTGGAGATATTGACCAGCCTGGCATCACTTCTGGATTCTATCAGTCACTATAAAATGTTGGTCCTGAAGTAATGGACTAAAGATCTCTGAAAATCCCCACCTAGGTCCAGAGGTGGGGGAATGGAGCACAAGGACCTGAAACAAGTCAGGATTTATGAACTCAACTTTAGAGATTGCTGTCTTGGAACAGACACTATCAGGACATTTTTTTTAACTTGTGATTCTTCCCTGTCTATCTGAAAGGCTGAGTTCTGTCACATCTGCAGTCATTTGGCCTTTACAAATTGAGTGACACGTTTTGTAGAGACCTGAATGGCATCCCCCAGTGTTTAAATAATTAAGAGTTCTGCTTAATGACTTCCCAATTGTCCTTCAGAATTGTGTGTATTGTAGCTCGTGCTTCCTTGAAATAGGTTATAAAAATATGCTAGGTCATATGAAAGTTAAACGCTCAGGAATTAAACCCACAAATAGCCCTGATAAAAAGCAGATTACTGTACATTCCTAATTTAAAATTAGATCATTATATCATTCATAAAGACTAAGTGACATTGTATTAGACTGAGTAATAGTATCTTTATCATTCATAATCATATTTTTGGATATGTGAAACATATGTGAAACAATAGCTTATGTTTTGAATATTTTGTCATTACAAACTGATTTTATTTTATACGCATATTCTTCCACAGTAAAATGCTTGAGTGACATGCATTTATTAATCCATACAAAATAGAAGTTTTTCATTACGAAGAGTTGAATGTATTTTTATGGACCCTTATGTATTAAAATGTTATTTCACAGTAATACAAAAACTTGAAATTTAATGTTTTTCATATATTCAGATTCCCTCGTTCATTATAATAGTAAATATATCACTTGTTAATTCATATGATCTTCATGCTGTGAATAATATTTTGTGTTATGTGTCACGTGTTATGATCTTCATGCTGTGAATAATATCTTGGGTTGTTTGGTGTACTTCCAGTTATTGTAAGACTAGGTATGTCAAGGCTAATGACTTACATTTTGGCTTGAGTAATTTCGAAACCTGTGCTTTCACAACCTGATTCACAAATTAAAGTAATAATATTTCTAAAGTAATTAGGATTTATTAAACTTTTACACAAAATTCAGTCTTATTAAAGTGTGATATGAAAACGAATATACTTTTAGTTAAAATTTAAATTTTCTTTAAAAAATCATAACTTAGAATGTTTGTTGAAACTGCGTATCAATTTCTGCATTCCCCCACTCAACAAACTTAAATGTGACTAAAATCCAGATGCATATCCCAACATAAAATATTAGGGCTAAAACAAATTGAGGTCAGCAATACCACTATCAAAAGGATCCACCTCTGATCATATTGTATGTCAAGGCTGTTACATTTCAGGCACAGAAGAGAGTAGAAGTCATATTTTAAAAATAATCAGTGAATAAAGCTACGCACCACTCTAGCAGGATACCAGGAAAGAACGTGACATTATTTGAATCAGAATATTCAGGATTCACTTTAAAATATATTTAATCTAGAGTATTTTAGAATAAACCTCTCTCAAAACACTGAGGTTATTTCTAAATAATTTTATTATTACATTCAGTAACATTTCTCTGCTTATATCTTATGAAATATTGCATTTGTTGTACTACAGGTTTATGTTTTTATCTGGAAATTCGCAGACACTATACCATGAGATTTCCATGAAAAAATATTTGTCAGCCTGAATCCTTAGAGATTACTATTAAAAAGATAATGTTGTGCCATGCATAATGTATATATGCAAGAAGTTTGGTTAATGAAATACACTGAGAAAGTAAAAAAAATAGACATATCTCTATGGTTTCTCAAGTCGTTTATATTAAGATTGAAACAGTGAATTAGATTACAGTCTCCTCTACTTTCATTTTCCACTCAATGAAAAAAATATTTAACTAAGAAACAATACTGTAAATGTAACTTTTACATTCTTTGTCATTTTTTAATACTGAAAGCATTATTTCATTCAATACCATGAAAAATAACTTTACAAGATTTACTTTTGCTATTATTATGTAGGTTTCTATACTTCTATAGCTTTCACGAATATTTTGGTAGAATATCACATATTTATTTGATAATATCATCAGTATATAATATGATAAAATCTTAGACATGCTAAAAATAGCATGAGGAAATTTTACTGCTGCACTGGTATAATTCCAACAATCATATCCAAATTCAAGAGATGACAGCAAAGGAAACAGTGACAATAAAGATCACCCTTGAGAGTATTTAGAAGAAAATCCATTATCTATAAACCTAGACTGATAACAGCCATTAACCATAAGGGATGTAAACGTGCTCCTTGTCACTTTTCCAAAAGAGAAAATGAATTTACTGAAAAGATAAACTGTTACTGCCAGGTAAAGAAGACAGTCTTATCACTGACCTGATTAATCATTAACAAGTATTAAAAGACCAGTGTTCCAGGATGGTTTTCAGAAATACTGAATATTTTGTCTAAAATAAATTTAAGTAGATGTTACTTTGCATAACAGTGAGGAAACATGCCTTATAAATAAACGGAAAATATCTCAAAAGGGAAAGCAATTTTTATATATTCAAAAGATAAAATGTTTTGGGAGGGAGATAAGGGATAAAAGACTATATACACTGGGTACAGTGTACACTGCTCTGGTGATATGTGCACCAAAATCTCAGAAATCACCGCTAAAAAAACTTACTCCTGTAACCAAACACCACTAAAACCAATTGAAATAAAAAAAGGAAAATAAAAAAAATAAAAAACAGAAAATGTATAATGTACACATTCATGCTTGAAAAGACAGATGAATAAACCTTTCTTCTACAAACAAATGCTACAAATCTTGCTAATATTTATTGAAGTCACACTTTCTTTCTGACTTGTATGATTTTTGAGAACTACCTCAGTCGTAAGTTGGTCTTTTATTATTTCCTAGGGTTTTCTATCTATCTGAAGTCACGCTTCATTTTGGCATGTCCTTAGAAGAATATAGTCTGCCTGGACCCCTGTGTCATCTCATGTCAGTTCAGCACTTGGCCCTGGCAGGCATCTTGCTGTCATGTACCCTTCCACTTCTAGTAGATGTGAGTTGTTACAAGAGTCACTTATCTATCACAGGCTGCTTTTCAGGCCCTTTGTTTAGATGATCGTGTTGTGTCTTTTAAAGCTAATGTGAGTCCGGTTTATGATTCAGGCTTATGAAACAGCTTTGAAAACCAAATATGCCTGTGGAGAGTCAATTATTATTTTGTTTCTTTCTTGCTGAAACCAAACAGATTGTAAAACTGATCTGGCCAGGAATGGTGGCTCACGCCTGTAATTCCAGCGCTTTGGGAGGCCAAGGAAGGCAGATCACCTGAGTTCAGGAGTTCGAGACCAGCTTGACCAACACGGAGAAACCTGGTCTCTACTAAATATACAAAATTAGCCAGGCGTGGTGTGGGGCGTCTGTAATCCCAGCTACTCGGGAGGCTGAGGCAGGAAAATCGCTTGAACCCAGGAGGGTTGTGGTGAGCCAAGATCGCACCACTGCCCTTCAGCCTGGGCAAAAAGAGCAAAACTCTGTCCCACCCCCAAAACAAAACAAAACAAAACAAAACAAAACAAAAAAACCCTGAACAAACTGATCTTTCCTAACCGTCTGATCTACTGGAGGACAGCAACTATAGTTACACAATGAATTGCTTAAATTATATTGAAATAATAGTTATATCTCAAGCTGAATAGAGCACAATTTCAACTACGTAGAGTAAAATTAAAACTTAACAATAAAAAATTAAGAAGGCAAAAATACACATTTCAAAGATGATGAAAAAAATGAATAGATTAGCAACATATAAAAGCATACTGAGCTGAGCCTAAGAAAATGCATATTAAGTGCTCATGATATGTTCTTACACACTCAGAATATTTGAAAATAAGCAATCTTTTAATTCAAAACATTAGTGAGATATGAAACAAAAGAAATATGTACACATCACTGATGAGCCTGTAAATTGGTACCACTTACTTGCACGAAAATTTGACATTCTTTATTAAAGTTAAACAGGCTATAAGTCGTAAAAGCAATTTCACTTCTAGGTATATGAGATAAATCATCATATGTCTACCAGAAAGAGTATATGATAACAAAATAAACAAACCAACTGGAAAAAACATATTACAAGGAAAAAGGATTGATGAATTGTGATTTACAATGGAATATTTATACTGTGGTAAAAACTAATGAACTATGACTACATACATCAAGATAGATGAACCATTAAAATGCAATGTTCATTGTTTTAAAAAGCCTAAGAAAAATGCACACGGAATAATAGCATTTACATAATGTTTAAATACAGGCAAAACTGTAAAGAAAAGGAAGAAAATGATAATATCCAGAGTGATTTTTTTATTATCTGGATAAAAAAAGTTAACTCTGGATTATATATAGGGAAGATATCATATAAAAAGAGTACACAGGGCTCTCTAGACATGAAATATCCTTCTTCTTAAGCCAGATGAGGTACTTAAAATTTACTGGTGCCAGTGTTGTTATTACTCATTGCTATTGAACCAATTTATTCATTTGATGTAAATTATACATTTTAAAAAAGTAAAGCTTAAAATAAAGCTTCAAATATTCTAATAATTCAACTAATGTATATTAAGCACATAATATGTAGGAACGGTGGTAGATAATTTCATATAGTTACTCCCATTTATTGTTTTATCAATTTTATTACAATGCCAATTATAATTTCAAATTTTAGTGAAACTGATAATAAAAGAAATAATTATACCACTGCTACTACACTACTATTATGCTAGTTTCTCTCTCTCTCTTTCCTTCTCTCTCTCTTTCCATGTATATATTCTGTGTATGTGTTACACTCTTAGAAGTTACAAAATGTAGATATTATTCCTTGCCCCTTATAAATGAGGAAATTGATTCTCATCACATTGCTATTAAGCAATAAAGCTAGAAGTTGTACTTAGATATTTCTAAGGTCAATTTACAAATTACACTCACAGTCTTACACAATGCATCTTAATCATCAAAACAGAATTAATGTTGGCTGGGTGTGCTGGCATGCGTCTTTAGTCTCAGCCAGTTGAGAGATTGAGTCAGGAGGATCCCTTGAGCTCAGGAGTTCAATACCAGCCTGGGCAACATAGTGACATAGCAAGACTCTATCTCTACAAAAAATTAAAATTAAAATTAAAATTAAATCCAAAAAGTATAATTAATTTTGCTTTTGATACGTTGTTTTTTGAAGTAATTATAATTTGCTAAATAAGTCAGAAATAATTACTTATACCTCCCTTATACAGATGGAGAAAAGAAAATCTGGCTTTCTCTGTCCCATGTTTCATAGCTTTTTATAGCTCGATAATTGCTCATTTTCACCTAGGACACTGAAAAAACTATTTTTTAATAATTGCCATCTTCACAAGCTCATCCCTTATCATGAATTTTAAGGAAAAGTTGTTTATTTCTAAAACAGTTTACATTTATGACTGATACTGGGAATCAGTTTCAATAATTCTTTAGTTATTTCTGATTCACTATACACTACGGCCTAAAATTTTCAAAAACGTCTAAGATGAAGTCAGTGCCTATTGTGTTCAACCAATTATCTCATGATGTGGTGAGATTTTAAACAAACACACAAACATATTTTTTTTTTTTTTTTGAGACGGAGTTTTGCTCTTGTTGCCCAGGCTGGAGTGAAATGGTGCGATCTTTGCTTACCACAACCTCAGCCTCCCGAGTTGCTGGGATTACAGGTATGCGTCACCATGCCCGGCTAATTTTGTATTTTTAGTAGAGATGGCAGTTCTCCATGTTGGTCAGGCTAGTCTCGAACTCCTGACCCAAGGTGATCCACCCGCCTCGGCCTCCCAAAGTGCTGGGATTATAGGAGTGAGCCACCGCGCCAAGCCACAGACATAATTCTTTAAGGGAAGTACACTAGCCACCAAAAACACCCTTAAAAGTCCTTACTGTCCACTGTATTTATAAAATTATTTTACTAAATGTTTCATTAACATTTTAGCCATTAAGAAAGGATGTATTTCTATTTAACAATAGCTAGGTTGATATCAACTCACCAATAATTTAATACTTTACACCAATCCAGAGGAGTGTGTTTGAGGTTTTTTTCTGTTTGTTCTTCCTTTCTGGGCACATTTTTGAGTGATAGAACAATTTGAGGCTAGAAGAGATTATTTCAGGGGCTCTTGGTCTCACCATAAAAATCATAATGAAATGCAGTCATAGGCTTAAATCTCAAGAAGGTCAATTGCATACTGCAAACTTAGCGTTAAGTATATTAATGTTGTGTGCATGGCTCTGCCAGAGACCTTGAATGAATTCTTTATATGATTATGATAAGTGTTTTTAATTATGAAAAATGATAGTATATTTGGTACATTTTCAAAGAATTACAGGAGTATTTTCTCCCTTAGGAGAAATCTCAATTGAAATATTGAATAAATAATAATAGGTAAATTATCAATCTTGAGTTAAGAAGGGTGAAAATTACACTCTCTGCCAAAAACAGTATAGGGTAATATATATGTATGTATATAATGTTTTATATAATACAATATCACATACAAAATACATCTATCCATACATATATTTACATATATAGAGACATATAATGAGAGGCTGCCTCTCATTATACATAATGATAATGTAGGAGGGGAATTAATGGTTATTGCATATGAAAATACAGATTGCACTGCATTGCTATTGCTAGACTTCCTATGGAAGTCTGTGCGAGCTTTGGTTGGTGCAGTATTTCTATGATAATACACCATAGTCCCAAGGGAAGTTAGAAAGAGAAATTTGGATGATGATGAAATAATCATGATAGAATGTATTTTTTAACCTGAAAAGGTTTATGGCTATAATTTAAATTATGTTTATATTAGTCTCAGCAAAACACATGTAGAAATCATTATTATCTCCTTAGCACATTGTCTTCCCTAAAATAAGCCAGATTCAAGCAATAGATGATAAATCACATGTGGGATTTAGGCATGCTTTATTCCCCAAGAATACATCCAAAATGGTTTATTTTATTAACAGATCACCCACACTCTGCTAGCTAAAGAAATACTTTAAATTTAAGATATCATAATATGCATGGCCTTTTCATGGTAAATAAGGATGTTTTTAGTTAAGCTAAAGCAAAATGTAATGATAAGCAATATAAATTAGAATATTTTCAGTACCTAATGGCTCTGTCAGAAATAGAAAATTTTAAAAATGGCCCATAAATTTAATATGGAAATTTTAAAAATTTCAATTTCCATTTGCCTTAACCTACATTTGTCTGACTTCCATGTCTTCAAGAATACTATTAATTTACTAATAAGGCAAAGGAAACTTGCAGAAAGAAAAATGAAAAGAAAAACAAAACAGGATGAACCAACAGTAGAAAAGTATAATGACAAAACAGACATGTGAGGTGGTAAGAGCTTGGAGAAGAAGATTTTGTGAATATAATATAGTACATGAAAATCTTGCAGAATAAGAAATTTGAGGTTGGTTGTTTTATAAAGCATTTAAGCTAGATAGTCTTGGGTTTCTGATACCATAATTTATGCTTTTTTTTTTAGGCTCCCACACCACCTCTTTTGAATTCCCAAGCTCTCCTTGGCAGCCATTCTGTTTCTCCCTCTCTTTCTCTCTCTCTTATTTTTCTCTTTCTTAGACCCCTTTGCACAGTTGTAAAATTTGTTGGGAAGCTAAAGAGAGCCAAAGAGCTTTTGTTTATGCACATAATATCTATTGATAATTATTATTTAGAAATTAAAACTGAAACCTTTCCAAATATGCATATCTCAATCTATTTGAAATAACAATAAACACATTACATATTAACAAAAGCAATCCCACTTCTGGGAATATTTTCAAAGGAATTAAAATCAATACTTTAAAAGGATACTTGTACTCCCATGTTTATTGCAGCATTATTCAAAATAGCTATGCCATGGAATCAACCTGTGGCTATCACCCAATGAATGAATAAGGAAAATGTGGTATGGTATGTGTACACAAAGGAATATTATTCAGCCTCAATAAAGAGGAAAAAAATCTATCATTTGCAACAACACAGATGAAACTTATGATAGTTAATATTGAGTGTCAACTTGATTAGACTGAAGGATGCAAAGTATTTTTCCTGGTTGTGTTTGTGAGGGTGTTGCCAAAGGAGATTAACATTTGAGTCACTGGACTGGGAGAGACAGACCCACTCTCAGTCTAGGTGGGCACCATTTAATCAGCTGCCAGCATGGCAAAAACACAGCAGGCAGAAGGTGGAAAAAGCAGACTTGCTGAGTCTTCCAGTTTTTGTCTTTCTTCTGTGCTGGATATTTCCTGTCCTTGAACATCAGACTCCAAGTTCTTCAGCTTTTGGACTCTTGGGCTTACACCATTGATCTGCTAGGGATCTCAGGCTTTCAGATACAGACTGAAGTCTGCACTGTTGGCTTCCCTACTTTTGAGGTTTTGGGACTCAGATTGGCCTATTGTGGGACTTCACCTTGTGATTGTGTGAGTCAATACTCCTTAATAAACTCCCCTTCATATATACATCTATCCTGTTAGTTCTGCCCCTCTAGAGAACCCTGACTAATACAAACCTGAAGGACATTAGGCTAAGTGAAATAAGTCAGACAGAGAAAGACAAATACTACATGATCTAACTTATGTTTGGGATCTAAAAAGTGGAACTAGTAGAACTATAGAATGATAGTTGCCAGAGGTTAATTGGGAGGGAGAAGAAGGGAAGGGGAAACTTGTTGGTCAAAAAGTACCCAAAGTTTAAGAGAGACAAGAAAAATAGGTTTTTAGATCTTAATCACTTGCACAGCATAGTGACTATAGCCAGTAACAATGTATTATATATTTTAAAATAATTAAGAGAGCAAATTTCAAATGTCTCACTACAAAAATGGTATTTGATCTGTTGCACATGATTATTAGCTTGATTTATTATTCCATATTTGATACATGTGTCACAAAAATCACATTATACCTCATTAAATATATACCACAATGAATTGTCAATCAAAATGATATTAATTAAAAGTATTTAATAAAAAGTGGCAATATTTTCCAGAAAAAAAAGTTGACATTGTTTTCCATTTTTGCAGATTTCTGTGATGTCTGGCTTAATAGAAGACATCTGGAATCTTCTATTTGTTTCTGTATCTAATCTTTTGTGAATTAATATATCATGTAGTCTCCAGAAAACTCAACTGTACAGTCATGAGGGAATTAAAGTAAAAAAAGCTGAATAGTATCTTTATTATGATAAAAAGACTTTTGACCTTGCAAACCTTCTGTAAAATCTCAGGGAACCCCAGAGGTCTCCAAACTACATTTTAAGAACTTCTACCCCAGGAAACAAGTTTAGCAAAATATCCAACATTTGCTTCTCCACATTCATATCTTCCTTAAGGCACTTCTTGAGGACAGCTGAGATTACAAGAGAGTTGTTTCCTTTCCATCCAACTTTATCTGAATTACAATAATCCAGACCTAAAGAGAAATGAAGCTCAGCCCTCATTATCAGATGGAAGAAGAGATTATAGAGAGTAAATAATCCAACCTATTGTTTTATCTAGGCACTAAATTCTACTACAAAGAGATTCTCTCTCAGCCAGATAAATTTAAGACTGTGGAAATTAGAAGATGCCAGTGTTTTTAAGCAAAAGCCCACTAAGGAAAGGATAACATATATTGGCAGATAGATGACAGCAGATAGGAAAAGCTGCAGTCTTTCAAACCAAAAGTAATTGATTAGTAACAGAATCATCTGAGACTATGCTGATAGTAGAGAGGTAATTGTTATTTTCTCTATATATACATTAATGGAGACAATGGATCTTGTCATATAGCACTGAATACTAAATCACTTCCCTGAAACACATTTAAGATCTAGTGAGAATGGCTTGAGAAAGTTGGGGTTCACTGAAGATTTAAGTAGTACAGATGAAAAAAGAATCATCACCATTGTTTAATTAGTTCTTCAATGGATGTTCATTGAGTGCCTACTTTGATTCAAGTACCGTAGTCCCACTGGATTCATGGGGGATGATACATTCCAAGACTGTCAGTGGATACCTGAAATTAAAGCTAGTACCAAACTCTGTATATGTTATGCTTTTTTCTTTTCTATAATACATACTTATGATAAACTTTCACTTTTTTAGTTTAAGGAAGCACTTTACAGCTTCTCTTTGGCATATTGGAATTGCCAGCATCACTACTCTTGTGCTCTGGGGCAATTAACAAGTAAAATAAGGGTTATGGCTGGACGTGGTGGCTCACACCTGTAATCCCAGCACTTTGGGAGGCCAAGGCGGGCAGATCACGAGGTCAGGAAATCGAGACCATCCTGGCTAACATGGTGAAACCCCGTCTCTACTAAAAATACAAAAAAATTAGCTGGGCATGGTGTCACAAGCCTCTAGTCCCAGCTGCTTGGGAGGCTGAGGCAGGAGAATGGCTTAAACCTGGGAGGCAGAGTTTGCAGTGAGCCGAGTTCATGCCACTGCAGTCCAGCCTGGTGAGAGAGTGAGAGAGTGAGACTCCAACTAAAAAAAAAAAAAGGGTTACTTGAGCACAAGCACTGTGATATCACAACAGTAGATTGACAACCAGGGTGGCTATTAAGGGGTAAAGGGCAGGTGTGTATACAGTGTGAATACACTGGACAAACGGATGTTCCAGTCAGATTTCACCACACTACCCATAATGGTGTGCAATTAAAACTTATGAATTGTTTATTTCTGGATTTCCATTAGTATGTTTTCTGGTCTCCAATGTGTACCTGTAACCTCAATTCCCCTTGGTAGTTAGTTACTACAGAAAACTAAGTAACTCTTTTTTGCTCATGCTTTTAGAGAGAGGCCCAGAATGCCATTCCTAGATTCCACCTTAGTGGAATAACTGGTTGTGTTCTAATAAAACTTCATTTACAAAGCAGGCAGAAGGTTAGATTTTGCAGAAATGAATACACAGAAAGGAAACAAAATATTTAGTGGTCGTTAGGTGCAATCATTATTAGCACCAACCATGACTACAACCCTAGTTTTCCAGGCTCTCACGCTCTAACTGGTAGGGAAATTATAATCATACATCGATCACTGATTCAGCTCCTCGACTACATCATCCAGGGCTGCATCCTAACTGCAGAAGTGACCATATCTAAACACGTAATTCCTGTTCTATAATATCAACTACCCTGAAAGATAGAGTCATTGAAAATATCATGAATTCTTCATTGACCTCTTATTTTAATTATTTTCATTTAACTCGGTTTCTTGCTCAAAAGGAATATTATATAAAATATGAGGGCATACCTAAGACATGTAGTAAGCTTGAAGTTATTTCAGAGAAAAAGCAAGTTGAGAGTGAAAATCTAAATAAAGACTGAGTTTCTGCCCCAATGTGAATAAATCACTCCTTTTATATCTAATATTTGTTTCTAATTTTATCTTTGGTTTATTAATTTTTATTTTAGAAACTGCTCCTCTCCCACTGCAGTGATTTTTGCCAGGCTTACCAGTCTGTTAACTCACATCATTGTCACAATGGTGAATCCTTCCAGGCTTGCCCAGCCAGGAATTACACTTCCCTGGATAGAGATTTACTCAAGGGAAAGTGACACAGCAAGGAAATTCAGCCATAGAAATTAATTCCATAGTTGGAAGAACCACATATCTTCTCAGCAATCTTCAACTTGAAGTACTGTGTTAGCTGCCAACTGACCGTTTTTAGCTCTACTTGAAGAGATGCCTGAGAATAAAATCAACAAAGAGCTACGAGATTAAACATGTATAGATATCTGGTAACATTGCATAAGCAAGAGAAATCAGATACACTTGAAAATAGGTCTACCTACAAAATTTTCAATATCATGAGCTAATAAATTCTATTTCTGCATATATAATTGTAAGCTGCAACAGAAAGATTCCTCCCTAAAATAGAGTCACTATAAGTAAATTACCAACAGATAACTGCTAATTTCTTACTGGCGAGTTATTGGAAGTTTAGACTAAGATGCTTTCACAGGCAAATGGAGCACACAGTAGCAATGGCACCAGGTTGGATTTATTTGAGGAACTTTATATTGTCAAACTCATGCATAATCTGCATTCTTGACACAATGGCAGCTTTGATCATGAGTGCAAGAACAGTCATTGGTCACTCTTGGAAGATAGATGCTCGACAGCTACAGAATTAGTCATTATGGCATTCTGGTGGGAATTACAAAGAACTTCTGCCATAGAAGGATTTTGGGCCTTTCACATAAGAAACAATATCTTCTGGATTTTGATTACAGAAGTTCTTCCTCAAAAGGTTCCCTTATTCAAAAGTCATCCATTTTTGCTTCTTAATAATCCTTCCCCATCTACCCAGAGTATTGGAGCTGACAAACAAAAAGTGGAGGTGCTGACCTCAATCCATTTCTCTTTCAGGGTGCATTTGATACATAGATTCACTGATGAAAGGGTTGGCTCCTGGGGGATTTTCTTACTCTATAGCCCTTCAATGCCAATACTGAGTGAGTGTTCACATCATGATGATGTAATTCTCCATAGTACCTCTATTTACAGTCTTTTATATACCATGTTTCAGACTTTTAATTTGTGTGTGTGTGTGTATTAGTTATAGAAAATATCCATGAAGTAATGTATATTGGTGGAAAGAAGACTAGCTGTGTGGCTCACCCAGTGCTATTTCTCACTCCTAATTGTAAGGTGCTAAAATGTGGGGCAAATTTTCCTGGAGTTTGCAAGCCTTATTTTGTTCCTAGATGTCTGGACTCCTGGATGCCTCATTAGTATGACAAAGGTTTGTCATTTTGGTGAAATGTATCTACTACCATCAGTTTTACACGGATCTTAACAAGACATCTAGAGTCTTTGCTACCTCATTCTTTCTGGGTTTTTTTTTTTTTTTTTTTTTTTTTGCTCTGGCATAAGAAAATAGCTTATTTAGTTTGAAGCAAAAAGGCAAAAGTTTTGCTTTTTGAAGCAAAAAAATCTATTTGTGAGAAAGAATTGTAAAGCCACACACACCACTGTTCTTAGTGAAAGCTACCTGATTATGTTTCTTTTTGAAATCAGCATAAAATGCCTTCATAATATAAAAGCTGCATATATAAGTGTCAAGTTTGTGTTAATTTGTTCTAGTAAGCATATCACATCTAAAATAGCGATTAGATTAAATTTACCATTTATGTAAATTTATAATAACACTATGTCATTAAGCTTCTGAACTTGATTTCAAATCTTTGATAGTGATTCTGTTTTATGCCATTTCTCCAGAGATTCATTCCTGCTTTTGATGCACCATTGGACAAGAAAAATGAAGGTAAAATACCTTTCAGTTGGGTCTTCTTACTATGACAGTTCTTACTTTATAGGTTAGAAAGGTACTGGGGGAATTGTTCCAGTTGCTGAGGATAGCAATCCCAATCTTAGACTCAGGAACAAGGGAAATAACTACTTGATGAGTTCTGGGCCTCAGTGGACTGACTGTGAAGTCAATTCAAATAAAAATACATTAATCATCTACATTCCTGAATGCCACTCTGCATACTGGCCTATGATGCTTCTGGATGTGTAGAGATTAAGTGTCACATAAATAGAGATTTAGTAGTCTGTAAAAAGTTGAAGATTCTTTCCACAGTAAATAACCACGGATATCATCACTAAGGGGGACTAGGAAAATGAATGCTATGAATATGGGGTATTATAACAAGGAATGTGCCTTCCTTTTATTCAAGCTGCCATCCCTTTATAAACTGATCGATTGGTTTTGAAATTGGATGAGGTCAGGACCACTGTATATGAAACTCTTCACATCAGCAATCATGAGGAGAATGATGTCAGGTGTTTTTGTCTATTGGATTCAAAAGGTAGTTTATAAAAGTTTTTATTGAATAAATCAAGTAAAGCTTTGGTGTGCTATCCTCAGAAAAGCTTTAGTGTGTTATTTCTCAGAAGGTTATATTTGGTTAACTTTAGACAGAGACAACTTTGAATAAGACCTTGATACTCAGGCCCCAAGGACAACCAGATGGGCATCACTTGGGAGTCATTAGAAATACAAAATCTGAGATCCTAGATTATATGGTTTGGCTCTGTGCCCCCACCTAAATCTCATCTCAAATTATAATTACATGTCAAGGGAGGTGCTTTGTGTGATGTAATTGGATCACAGGGGTGAATTTTCCCCTTGCTCTTCTTGTGATAATGAGTTACTTTTTATTAGATCTGATGGTTTAAAAGTGTGTTGCAGTTCTCTCCCTCTCTCTCTCCTGCCACCATATAAGATGTGTCTTACTTCCCCTTCAACTTCTGGCAATATTATAAGTTTCCTGAGGCCTCCCCAACCATGTGGAACTTTGAGTCAACTAACCTCTCTTCTTTATAAATTAACCAATCTCAGGTAGTTCCTTACAGCAGTGTGAAAATGGACTAATACAGTAAATCGGTACCGAGAGAGTGGGGCACTGCTATAAAGGTATCTGAAAATGTGGAAGCAACTTTGGAACTGAGTAATGGGCATAGGTTGGAACAGTTTGGAGGGCTCAAAAGAAGACAGAAAGATGTGGGAAAGTTAGGAACTTCCTAGAGACTTGAATGGTTGTGACCAAAATGCTGATAGTGATATATGGAAAATGAAGTCCGGGCTGAAGTAGTCCCAGATGCAGATGAGGAACTTATTGGTAACTGGAGTAAAGGTCACTTTCGTTATGCTTTAGCAAAGACACTGTTGCATTTTGCCCCTGTCCTAGATATCTGTGGGACTTTGAACTTGGGAGAGAAGATTTAGTGTATCTGGTGGAAAACATTGTTAAGCAGCAAAGCATTCAAGAGGTAACCTGGCTATTTGTAAAAGTGTACAGTCATGTGTGTTCACAAAGAGATGCTCTGAAATTGAAACTTATGTTTAAAAGGAAAGCAGAGCATTAAAGTTTGGAAAATTTGCAGCCTGACTATGTAGTTGAAAATAAAAACCCATTTTCTGGGGATAAATTAAAACCAGCTGCAGAAGGTTGCATAAGTGACGAGGAGCTAAGACAATGAAGAAAATGTCCCTAGGGCATTTCAGAGATCTTTGTGGCAGCCCCTCCCATCACTGTAGCTGAGGCCTAGGAAAAAAAAAAATGGTTTCATGGGCCAGGCCCAGGGCCACGCTGCTCTGTGCAGCCTTGGGACATGGCATCCTTTGTCCCAGACACTCCAGCACCAGCCATAGCTAAAAGGGGCCAAGGTACAGTTCTGGTCATTGCTTCACTGGGTGCAAACCCCAAGTTTTGGTGGCTTCTATGTGGTGGTGGGCCTGTGGGCACACAGAAGACAGGAGTTTGGCAATCTCTGCCTAGATTTCAGAGGATGTATGGAAATGCCTGGATGTCCAAGCGGAAGTCTGTTGCAGAGGCAGAGCACTCATGGAGAAACTCTACCAGGGCAGTGTGGAGGGGAAATGTGGGGTTGGACCCCACACACAGAGTCTCCATTGGGGCTCTGCCTAATGGAGCTGTGAGAAGAGGGCCATTGTCCCCCAGACCCCAGAATGGTACATACACCGACAACTTGCACCATGCACCTGGAAAAGCCACAGGCACTAAACACCAGCCAGTGAAAGCACCAAAGAGACTACTCTGCAGAGCCAAAGGAACAGAGCTGCCAAAGCCTTGGGAGCCCACCTCTTGCATCAGCATGCCCTGGATGAAAGACATGGAGTCAAAGGAGATTATTTGGTAACTTTAAGATTTAATGGCTGCCCTGCTGAGTTTTGAAGTTGCATTGGGCCTCTAGCCTCTTCATTTTGGTGAATGTCTCCAGTTAGGAGTGGGAGCATTTATTCAATGCCTGTACTCTCATTGTATCTTGGAAGAAACTAACTTGTCTTTGATTTTACAGGCTCATAGGGGAAAAGGACTTGCCTTGTCTCAGATGAGACTTTGGACTTGTACTTTTGAGTTAATGCTGGAATGAGTTAAGACTTTGGGGGACTGTTGGGAAGGTATGATTTTGTTTGAGATGTGAGTGAAAAGCACATAAGATTTGGGAGGGGCCAGGGACAGAATGATGGTTTGGCTCTGTGTCCCCACACAAATCTCATCTTGAATTGTAATCCCCATGTGTCAGAGGAGGAGCCTAATGGGAAGTTATTGGATCATGGGGGCAGAATTCTCCCTTGCTACTCTAGTAATAATTAGTCAGTTCTCATGAGCTCTGATAGTTTAAAAGTGTGTGGTGGTTCCTCTCACTCTGTCTCTCTCTCTCCTGCCACCATGTAAGATGTTTCTTGTTTCCCCTTCACTTTCTGCCATGATTTTAAGTTTCCTGAGGTCTCCCCAGTCATGTGGAACTGTGAATCAATTAAACTTCTTTTCTTTATAAATTACTCCTATAAAAATGGACTAATATAACAGACATACTTGACATGAAACTACATTTTAACACTGCAAGCAAATGGTTCATTTGCCCATGAAGCAGATGAGAAGCATTATTACATTAGAGTTGAAT
Source organism: Homo sapiens (assembly GCF_000001405.40). Lineage (NCBI taxonomy): Eukaryota > Metazoa > Chordata > Mammalia > Primates > Hominidae > Homo > Homo sapiens. The sequence continues at coordinate 103,169,296 of NC_000006.12, forward strand.
TCTGTGCTACCTTGATGCTTATTTTGTTACATACTCTTATCCTCTTATCTGATTATTCAATTTTGTGATTTGGCATAGGGGACGTTAAGCTTCCCTTACTCTTGCTGATACCAGGAACACCATTTCACTTGCAGCTCTTTCAACTCGCACTCAGAATCCATAGAAAGCATAGGAAAGTTGTTGGTATAAAATGCCATTTCTTCCTATATTTTTCTACTGAGTCTTAATGATTTGCAAATCATTAAGACTCAGTAGAAAAATATAGGAAGAAGTCGGTAACTGGATGACATTACCAAAAGGCCATTCTTCCTCCTCTATTCCATGGGCATTATGGCCTTTCATTGTAATTATTAAGGACCAGAATTTCGTTCACATTTATATATGTTTGGTTCAAGATAAAATTGTGCTCCATTTTTTTGCCCCAAACCTATAAACTCTAGTCCCATGATTATTTCCCAACTATCCATTTATGCATATTAGTAAATCTTTGCAATTCTAGTTGAATATAATCCCTATCTTCCTTATGTTAATTTTATATTATACCACCTAGCTAGGTTGAGTTTGCATTCTGATCAACAGTCAAAAATGTAAAGTATAAGGCAGTAGAACAATTTTTTAAATGTGTACTATAAAAAGGGAATTTTTTTTAGGAAACTAAGGCATAAAAAATGATTCAAAGATATTGAGGTTTTAATCACATATATTTTAAGCCCCCTTAGTTTTTCCAAAAGTGTTATCATAATGGTTGAATACTCATTCTTTTCTTAGCGATACATGTACTGTCACATAAAAGACACAGCAAAGCCATGAATTCAACTGATGTTGAAATTCAGTATCACACAGATTGAATTTCTGAGCTTGGTTTTAGCACTTAGCTACACAGTAAAGAATTATCTTGTTGAGACCAGGAAAGTCCTTGCATATCAATTTGTATTTTGATGTGTTTTGAAACTGGAATTTTGTTCACACACTTTAAATTATCAGTGCTACTTGAGGCAGCCATGCTAATCTGCAGTGCTTGCATTCGTCATTCCCTGTAAATTTGTTTGTGACAGCAACTACTTGCCTTCAGAAAGTATTACACTTGGTGGGCACATGAATGTCCATAATTTATAACTTTGTTCCTTGTTTCATTAATGCATTCATCATGCTGATAATCTATGCATATTTATTCAACTCTTTCATTTAAGGAATGTTTTGGGGGCCCCAATTAGGTGCTAAATAATATTGTAAGCACATTTATCAGTAGACAAATAGACTTCTTTGGTTAGAGGAACACAGAAACTAGTCACAGGGGACAAAAATGCTAATTAAATAAGCAGATAACGGGAATGCTATTAGAGTAACACAGAATATCAAAGGATAAAGAAGTGCATAAAAAAGCCCTATGAAGGGCAAGAACTCAGAGAGCTGGAGGAAATCTCAGCAACAAAGGGAGATAAATTGTTTGCTCTTGGGGATGCTATTTGATGATTTGCCATCTAAATAAATTTATAATAATGCTATAATACATCAGTATAATCAATCAATTTAAAAAAAAACAAATATAAGATGTTTATCCTTGCCAGCCATACATTCAGAAAGGACATTTTTCCTTTTGTCACTATGAGCTATTTTAAATAATGAAAAATACAAAATATAATATGACATGCAAAAAACACCCTTTACTAAATTAAATTATTTGGACATATATGCTTCATTCTTTCTCTAGTAAATTTAAGTAGTAAAATAACACAAACACTACTAAAGCCTTACCACACAGCACTTCTATTCATCACTTTCCCTCCCCAGAAGCAAACATTATCCGAAGTTGATGTATATCCATTCTATGGATATTTATAATGTTCTCATATATGATATGTTTAATCCATACAAAAATATACTATTATTTTATAGGTCTTTAAACATTAAATTATTTTAACTATTAAATATATAAATTTGCATAAAATTTAACATATGTTCTGCAATTACTGTTATAAAATTATATATTTATTATAAATTTTAGAATTTACATATACATGCACATCTACAATATTCATTGTAACTTTTGTATAGTGTTTCTTTTTATAGGTTATTTAGAAAGTCTTTATATTACAGGAAAATAGGTTTTATTAGCATGTTTTATTTTTATAATTAGTGTTCACAGAGCAAGCTCAATTACAGCTTCTTCATAGGTTCAATGGTCCTCTAGGACAGAATCAAAAGTGAAATTACTGGGCGACAAAGTTTGAGTCTCAGATTCCTTAAGTATCATCATAATGTTTTTCTCCAAAATGTAATGTAATCTTATTTGTTTATTTTTATTTTATTTTTACCTATTTTTATTCTTTTTTTGGCTCAGGGTGTTGATCTTTCACCCAGGTTAAAGTGCAGTGGCATGCTCATGTCTCACTGCAGTCTTGAAATTCTGGGCTTAAGTGATCCTCCTGTCTCAGTGTCTCAAGCAACTGGGGCTACTGGCACATGCCACCATGACTGGATTTTTTTTTTTAATTATATGTTTGGAGAGATAGTGTCTCATCATGTTGCACAGGCTGGTCTTGAAGACTTGGCCTCAAGGAATCCTTTCACTTCAGCCTCCCAAAGTGTTGGGATTATAAACATGAGCCACCGCATCCAGAAAATTTTAAATTATATTACTATCACCATGTAATACTGTATATATTTCTATATTTTATATAAATCAAATTATATATAAATTAATTAACACATATTTATATAAATTAAATTATATATGTTACATAATTATTTTAACCCCAAACATCTTCAGGTTTATGTCAATCAAGAATAAAGCATTCTTCTAGATTTTTCAAAGATAGTTGATATTTTGATACATTTAACTTTTTTTAAATTCTGTTTTCTAAGTTCTGACAGATTTAACTATTGCATGAAGATTGTATGCCCAGCAAACTTGCTAAAGTGTTCTCTTTTTAGAAATGGTAATAGTTATTCTGTAGGTTCTATTTAATTTCCAACATATATAATTCCATCATCCATAAATCCTAACAATCTTGCTTCTTTATATCTTGTCCGTACTAACTTTTATTTTTTTCTTACCTTATTGTACTAGTACTGGCTACCTCTATAATATAAAGCAAAGTGGCAGTTGTGGATATCTTTGATTAATTCCTATTCTTGTAGTTAAACTTTTAATCCTTTAATGATAATTAGTTGGCTGGATTTTTCCCTTCATTTCTTTTATATACTTTTTTTGTTTGTTGTATTTTTGTAGATACACTTCAATCCCTAATTTTCTGGGAGTTATTTTCATAAAACTTATGTTGAATTTATTAAAGACCTTTAAGATCTTTGATACATTTATTGATGAGATCATAGTATATCTCCTTTACCTTATTTAATATAAGGTACCTTGTATTAATGCTACCTTGCATTAATATATTTTCTGATGTAAAACCAACTTTCACTTCACCATTAGAATTTATTCAGCCAATGATGCATGATGATGTGTGATGTATGTGTCTAAATGTTTGTGTGTGCATTTTAATGTTGATTCAATGGGTTTGTTAATATTTTAAAGGGTTTTAATTTTACCCTAATTGAAACTGCTTCATAAGTTGCTTTATATTATAATTGTGCTTATTGCTGAACATGTCTTATTTTCCATAAGCGAGACTGCTTATTTTTTGTGCAATTGTGTATACACTGGTGGGTATATTTTAAGGTACTAATTCATTTTTCACTTAATTCTATTAATAAATTTAGGCCTTTAATTGAATAGTATATATTTTTCTTCTTGAGTGGAATTTTAAGATATCCGTTTCATAACATCAATTTTGTGTTAATTCAAATAGTTTAATTGTCAAAGCAAACTCAATGGAAATTACTGACCTTATGCGACACCAATCTTCAGGAATGATTCAAATAATAAGGCAAATCTCAGAAATAGATGAAAACTTCTTGTCCTAAAGGATCAAAATACTGCCAGATTCAGTTTCCAAAATTTATTTTTCTCCTGTACTCGGATTCCTTTTTATTTCAGATTAACTGGAGAGATTTAAGCAATCCATTGAAAAACAATTACACAAATAAAGCCATTTAGTTTGACTCCATTTGAGATTCCACTAATTACGCAGTTTTAATGATGACCTTTCATCATCCTGTTAGCCCTGCCACATATATTCGTAATATATAGGTGGGTTTTTACTTTTTGTTTTTAATAAGCATTTGCGACACACTAGATATGACACACTATGTATGTTTTATAGACAGGGAATCCTAAAATTTTATGCTACTAAATATCATTAATATGTTATGAAAGTAATCTTTTTAGGATTTTTTTATGTGTTAGCAAGGGTACTTTGTCCAGGTTATTCATTTCTTCAGGCATCTCTTTTCAATGAAAGGGTGAGTCAGGTCCTTACCACCCACTTGACTTTAATTAATATCTCCTTGCCACATATTTCTTGGCTATTTTGGATAATTTGTTTTACATGATATTTTATATTAAACAATAAGCTACTAAATCCCTAATTATGTCTTGGATTTGAGCCATCCAATAGAAAGTGATAATTTCCTCTCTATGACATGTTAGTTGCAACCATATTCCTTCTTCACAGATTCTTTGATGCTCTCTTAACCACTGAATTATCCTTTTCTTCCATCATTGACAGTTTCTTGAAAATTTATACATGTATTGATTAAGAGATGTAATTGTGTTCTTAGTTGTTCTAAGGCCAATTTTATTTTTTCCACTGGATACTATTTTCCATAGCTATCAAAATCAACTGAAGACTTCAGATTAACCACATGAAATCTTTTCTAACCTGGAAGATCACTAGCTACATGCATTCACTTCCACTTTGTTCTATTAATAAATCTATAGCCCCTTGTTACACCATATAGCCACATTGATATAAGAAATGTTTAACACACCATAAATCAGATAAATTACAGTATCTTTTCCCATTCCTTCCCCAAAGAAATAACCTTATTCTATGTACTACCCATAGTCAGTGATAGGGATGGGACTAGAGAGTATTATTCAGTAAATTTTCTATTTTAATTGCTTTATACAATATATTTGTCCATTCTCTCATTGCTATAGAGAACTACCTGAGACTGGATAATTTATAAAGAAGAGAGGTTCAATTGGCTCACGGCTCTGTGAGGTGTACAAGCTTCTGCTTCTGGGGAGGCCTCAGGAAAGTTACAATCATGGTGGAAGGTGAAGGGGAAGCAAGCATATCGTCACGTGGGTGGCACGGTGGTGGGGGGAAGTGCTACACACTTTCACAACAGCCAGATCTCATGAGAACTCATTCACTATCACAAGAAGAGCAAGGGGAAAGTACATTCCCATGATTCAATCACGTCTTACCAGGCTCCTCTAACACTGGGATTTGGGTAGAGACACAGAACCAAGCCATATAATTGATGTAATTGTACCATAGGCATCATGGCACAGGTTTTCAGTGACATCAGCTTCCAAGTATCATTATAAAACATTCTTTTTCCCCACAAGGACAGACAGGCTCCCTCTCAAGGACAGGCTCTTCAATAACAAGAAAAAATATGTTCAATTTTATCCATTGTGCCAATGTGATTAGAGAACAAGAATGTGGCCATTGTCCAGTGACATCTCCCCATAAATGTGCTCTGGTAGTTTAGACTTCTAGCATTGATCCACAGGGACATTTGTATTGTTTTTCTCAGTGCGCATATTTGCAAGGTCTCATCAGACTTCACAGAGTACACACATAAGGCTTTCATTTACAGGTGAAGGATATAGTGCAGACAGAGAGAGTGCAGGCAAGTGTCTGAAGTGAGATCTAAGAGATATCCCATAGTACAAGGTCCCTTCAGGTTCAACCTTTGTGCACATATACTGCACTAAGGTGTTACCTCTGGCTTGAACCACCAAAAACTGTGGCAGAAATCTTGACTTTGGGTCAACAGCCAGTAAAATATCTCAGTGGCTTTTAAGTAGTCAAGACAGGGTTGGCAAAACTACTAGCCCATTGTAAGTCATCAGCAGAGAAGCTAACACTGAAGGTCGACAGGGAAGTTTCAGACTTTAACACTACATCATAAATCTCACTGCACTTATCTTGGTTGAGAGTCCAGGCAGATCCAGGCATTCTGTGAGACAAAGCACATTCTCATTTTAGCTTCAGATCAACTCTGTTACCACATTAAATTCTAAAGTGATCAAAGTATCCAATAGTCCCTCCTCGGTGAGGGGGCAGCTCCCTTCAGGCATTGTTATCAGCCATTTGTTCTATCAACTTGGTGACACATCCAATCCTTTTAAATTTTTTTATTACCATACCAAGCTGACTTCCAGCAGTAGCCAATATCCTGGAAAGATCCAATGAATGTCACGAGCTTGGTGGTTGGCCTGAGGATGTGGGAGGGACATCACAGCTTCTGTAACAATGGCTTTGCCACCCCAACATCTTCTGCAACGCCAAGTACATAGTAAATATGTGATAAATATTTGTTTGCATAATAAAAAATTACCTCCCTGCTATGGAGTGTCCCTATTTGATTAATAAGTTATCTTTAATTATAATGACTAGTCTCCAGGGATGTAATTTTTTCTGGACATGGTCACCTGAGACTAGCTTTAAAATTTTAGCACAATGGGACCAGCCATGTACTGTTGACATTATATATCCTTGGTTTCAGGACAATTTGAATATGCCATGTGCACATAAAATTTTGTGTATGCCATGTAACAGTCAATCAGGGATATTCGATCCTTAAGTACAGCTCAGTCTGATTGTGCCATGAGGTGACCCTGAAGAGCTTCAAAAGATAATCATTAGTGTTATGTGGCCTCTGTATCACTCCTTTGGGGTCATGCAAGCTGTGTAAAAACTTTTCTTATAAATATTTCTCCACATTCGCAGCCTGTATATTTGAAGAAGCAAATCAAGCTCTGAAATATTGGGCAAGTATAGCAGCATTCTTTTTCCCATTATATCCAGGTATTTGTCTTGGCAGGTGTCACCATAATTTACATCCACAGTGAAAAAATTGCTCAGCTGCAAATCAGCCCCCTACCCATGCAATTCAATGGTGGCAGTTCTCTTAGGATACCTGAAAAAAAATAAAATAGTAAAAAAATTTATAACTCATGAGTCACATGGTAGCTTGAGTCAACTCTTGGTCAGTTCAATAATCAGAAGACGCTGAATCCCATCTTTCTTTCAGATTATCCTGGTGGATTTTTAATGCACAGATACCAACCATCTTCCTTTCTGTACATAAAATAAGTGAAGTTGCTCCTCCATCATTAGCCATCCGTTAGCATCAGATCTGAAAGCGATAAATACAAGTATTATTTTTTTGCTGTGACACATACTTTTGGGAATAACACTATTGCCTCCTTCCCTGAGGTGATAACCCATCTGTGAGCCCTTTCATTATTTTCATAATTTCTTCCATTTTCCTTTTATTACCTGTTTAATTCATATTCCTCACTCCCATTCCTGATGTTTTTTTCTTTTGCTGTTGGTTTGGCTTGGCTAGGTTGTACTGTTAGTACATTAGTATATGCAGTAACATCAGTCCCTACGAAAGTGTAGTAGGATTTAGGAGGTAAAAAGAGTTACAAAACTCTCTTCCATTTGGTAAATGGGCTGGAATTAGTTAACCCTACTATGATTAGATGGGGTGACTTTATGGCCATAATGAAATTCCTTTAGGAATAAATACACACTGTCAATTGTATGTTGATAGTTCTCTCTACTAATACAGGCAATACAACCACGATTTCAATGAAATTAAATCAGGAAAGATAAAAGAAAAAAATTATTAGATGGGTAATACACGAAGTTATGTACTGCATCATTCCTCATACTTTATTTCAACTGTCCCATTGCAAAAAAATTTTCACCGAAGTTCCCAATACACTGCATCTCCTGTCTCATTTAGTGTGAGGATATAGTTTTTCGTCAACTTACCCAGCTTTTCCAAAGTTTTTTCACCATCTGTTTAAGCAGCAGGTATTCTAATTATCCATTCTAATTTTAATCTAACTTTTGTTCTTAGGCTGATAAAGAATGTGATACGTCCATATCATATGTTTCTGTGTTGATTTTTTGTACATTAGTGGCAGTAAAATTGTAAAGTGGTAAATAGAATAAAATTATGCAGTGAAGTACATAATCAGATAAAGTATATTGAAGTAGGCCAAGATGCTAGATAATTTACAGTTTCAAAACTTTAATTACATTATTTCTGGTTGCTTCTACCATTTGGAGAGCAAAACCTAGATGAAATATTCTCGGAATTCCAGCACATTCTCAGCAGTCCATCTCCAAGGTCTACCTTTATGATTTCAGGGCAATTCACCTTCCTCTAAATTCTATAACAACAGTACCCCACATGAATATTTTATTGTCAGGTTATCCTGGGCCCATTTGCCTGACTACTCCACCTTTCCACAATATTGTTGGCTTAGGGGCAAGATTATACAAATATCCAAACTATCCGGAGAATACAAATGTAATACCTCCTCCATCCCTAAATAAATAGTTCACTGCCCTGCTCATTGTGCACTTTTGACTTAACATTCTTCTATCAGAGATTTATGATCTGCTGGATACAGCAAAGTCAATTTCAAAAAAAGCAAGTAAACCTCCATTTGGGTACTCCCAATGGGGAATCGAACAGCTTGTTTTGTCTTGGCCAGGAGATGACTACAGAATTTAGAAATAGAACAATGAGTGGGGAGATCCCCAGAGGGATGAAGTCATGGCCCTCAGGCAATCTGTTCATGTATGGGTAAATTCACCCTGATCTTCTTTATGTTTCATTATCTTGAGTATAGCATATCCATTTTATCAATGAGTTCTGCTGAGCAGCTCCTTCTATATTTGCATATTTCTATTACATTTCCCAAAACACACCAGGTATTACCTGTTTCAGGATTATTTTGTATACTTCTATGTTGGGGGCATTTCTACAAATGTCTAGTGAAAAGCTAGCAATTATCTTCCAAAAGACTATAATGAATGACCATATCAGGCAGCTTTTGAGTCTAAAATCCCAGTGGTCTCTGCTGAGTTGCATTATTCAGTTTCTACCACACGCTCCTGATGTGCTTTCTTGTTGCAGTCACTTTTAAAATCATCTGAGCAGTCAGGTCATAAGGTCTCAGTGGGAAAGCCTGAGCTGTAAACCTTTGTGAAGCATTTAATGCCTGTTTCTGTTCAAAGTCCCACTCAAATTCACATTTCTTTCTGGTGAGTTTGTGAATAGAGACCAGCAGTATTTCTAAATGGGCAATGTGATTTTGTCCAAACCCAAATGGTCCCACCAGTCCCTGGGTTTCCTCTTTAGTGGCACTGTAAGAAATAATGTATTCCTCACAGTTCAAGGGATGTTTCCAATTACTTCTACCCATGTCGTTACAAAACATATCATGGACGGGGTTGTACTTTAAAGTTAATTGAATGTGGATCCACTCTTTAGTGGTCGTATGAGTGGCTACTAAATTCCTAAATATCTCAGTTCACCCTCTAGGGAATTATCAAATAAGCATTGTAGTACATTACCTTGCTTTTAAAATTTAGCAAGTCCAAGTCCAAGCCTCACTGAACTAGATTAAGATAGTATGCAGGCAAAATCACTATGCCTATAGGAAATCCTTAAATATTAACTGTCATTTCTAGAAAATGCAAATTTTGCCTTACTGGATTCTAAGGTAAAAATTGAGAATAAAGCATTAGTCAGCATACTGTGTTCTACTAATCATCTTTGGCCTTCTTCAGTTCCTGTGTAGTCTTTATTGTATCAGACATGGCTGAGGGACTCTGGAGAACCATTTTGTTTAATCTCTGAAAGTTTGTGATTAGTCTCTATAAATAGTTATTCATATTGTTAGTCTCTATGAACAATCTGGCCAGAACACCAGTCTAATAGAAATATTAAATAGGGAGTTAATGGAAATTATTGCTCTTTTATTAACCACTTCCAAAAAGAGCAATGATCTCTTGTTGCATCCTACTTAGCTTAATGTTTATTATGGGTAAATATGGGATATTATGAAGTCTCCCTTCAGCATGTCCATTTAAAATTGGACAAAAAGCAGACAGTTGACATTCCATATGAAGATGGAAAAGGCAGAGCCTTCCATTTGCACCTATTTTTTTTTCAATTATGCATCCAGGTAATGGGGATACAACCAAGAAGACGGTTTACAGTCAATTTTTGAATCATACATTTCCTATGACTTTATCCATCACCATGAAATCTTCAAGTATCAACTTTGGGACATGAAGAGTGCCCAAAAAGTAGTCACAAAAAGTTTTGCATACTAACCTGAGGCTACTTGGGAATCTCTCCTAGCCCAAGTGTTGGGAAAGTACATCCTGTTCTACCTTTTTCAGTTTTAATCTTTTTAAGACCCCCTGGTTTTAGCTTAGGGGATAAATTCAACTCTCTGTTCAATAACTTTCCACTATAAATTCTAATCCTCATAATTAGATACAAATACATTCACACTGAAATATAAAGAGCTATTTCAATAGGAGATTTAAGAGGTATCTTTGGGTCTTTCTTTGTTATCCATGACCTTGAGAGTTCTGAACGATTAAAAGCAGTTTTTTGTAAAGTGTGCTTCCATTTGGATTTGTCTGATGTTTTCTCATAATTAGACAGGGGTTATGGGTTTTGGGGAAGAATACCATAAAGGTGAGTGCTCATCTCATTTCACCTGATCAGGAGGCACATAATATTTACATGCCTTGTCACTGTTGATGTTAATCTTCATCATTTAGAAATAGATGGTTAAAGTACTGTTTGACAGGTTTATCCACGGTGAAGTTACTATTTTTTCCTTTTTCCATTCTCGATTCAAAAGGGTGAAAAACTGTGACCCACAGGCCAAATCTGGCCTACCATTCATTTTTGTAAATGAAGTTTTTACTGAAACATTGCCATAACTATTAATTTATGCTTTATCTAAGCTGCTTTGAAACATTTTTACAATAACAGAGTTGAGTATTTGTCACAGAGATCTCTGGCATGCCAAGTTTAAAATATTTAATGTCTCCTTTTAAATATAAGTTTTTCAGAGCCTGCCTATTCTTTGAAAGCAAGTCACAAAATCAAGCACAACTTCAAGAGGAGGAGAAGCATTCTGGAAGAAGAGGTATCTATAATGTTATTTGGAAATTGTATTAAATTACATTAGTCTCTCTCATTTATTTTTCCATTTATTTCTATCAGTATATGCTCATGGATATTTATTTTATTCTTTGTGTTAAAATCCAGTAGTAATATTGTTGATTATGTGGCTCAAATTGTGTCAGTTTTCATCATTAGAAAGGCTTTCAAGTTCAGGTTTACTCCAGTATGTTTTTGATATCCGTTTTTTGGGGAGGGGACTATAAGATGCTCCAGAATTGTCTTATATAATCTCTTCCCCAGTGCTAAAATCAGCCATCTCTCCAAAGACGTCTGGTTTCTTTTAGTAGAAAATGGTACTTGGAAACCAAGATCTGACCATATATACCAATATATTTATACTTATTCTGTAGTAATTGATCTGGATATACGTGTTAAAATAAACTTTTAATTTTATTTTATATAATATATATTATTATGTTTATAACAAAATAAATAAGCTTTTAATTTATTTTTCATATTGATATTTTTGACTATGAACAACAGAGTTAATATGAGACAACTTTTTTTGCTTATTTGTAACTTCTTTCTCTAACAGCAAAAACCCGGATCTAGTATCTAAATTTTTTTCAAATATTTGTTTAACCTAGTTTACATGTAAAGTGGTTTTGGTATTAATAATTGGTATATCTAAGAAAAACAAATTTACCAACTAGAATACAGGGTTTACTTTTCTTTTGTTTTGGCAGAGTTGTTTTATTTTCTGTTTTTCCTAGGTAAATACACTTAAAATTTCTAGAAGCCTATTTATAGAGGCCTCATTTTTTTCTTTTTTTTTTCTTTTTTTTAGAGACTAGGTCTTGCTCTGTTACCCAGGCTGTGTGCAATGGCACAATCATACCTCACTGCAACTTCAGACTTCCATGCTCAAGTGATTCTCTGGCCTCAGCCTCCTGAGTAGCTGGGACTACAGGTGAATGCCACCATGCCTGGCTCATTTTTAAGTTTTTTGTTGAGATGAGACCTTCCTATGTTGTCCAGGCTGGTCTCAGAACTCCTGGCCTCAAGTAATTCTCCCAGCTCACCCTCTCAAAGTGCTGGGATTTCAGGCATGAACCACCATACCTACCCAACTAATATTTTCTACATAGACAATCTCTATAGGAATTCAGAGTAAGAACAAATGAGTGCACTAAATAACCAACAAAAACTAGCAAAACAGTTCCAGTCTCAAAAGAAAATGAAAATGCTAAGGCAAAAGTCTAAATACAATTCCTAGAATTAGTTATCAGGATTCACAAAATATACATATATATGTATATATATTTTATATAAATATATAGGTGCTTATGCCATGCACAATAGGCTGACGGACGGCACATTCCCCTTGTACTTGATGAAACTGATAGTAAAATAAGAAACTATATTCAATGTCAAAAGGTGAGGACGGCTTGAAAGTGGCTATGGCTAAAATTTCCAAGTATAAGACTTGCCATATAGCTGGCAATTTGATTACATAGAACATCTACCAGTAGCCTTAAGAGGTTATAAGGTGTTAACTTGGGCTCTTAATCTACTATAGGATTTTCTTACCTTATAAAATAAGTAACCTCCAATAATATGTTTAAAGTTTTGAAACAGAAAATGTTCTGTCAATTAATCCCATCTGCTTATATTTCTTCCAAAGTTCAGATTTCACTGATGCCAATAGGCATTTCCCAAATTGGAAAGTAAAGAGAAAGATAGAAGTTGTCTCATAGAATAATAAAAATGGATTACTCAAAGACAGTTTACTTGAAACTGCTCGCAAAGTATGGATTGGGTGGTTAAGTGAATGTGTACAAAAAAATAGATATGAGGACTTCTTTTAGTTTTCACATATAAAGATATTGGATACAGTGATTCTTATACTTACATAAAGAAAAAGCTAAGTGCATTGAAAGCAACAAATTTCCTTAAACTTATTAGATAACTCAGGTCACAGGACAGAAATGTCACCCTAAGATCTGGAAACACAGTCAAATCCAGAAGTCACAGCCAAGTTATGGTTACTTTAAGCAGAACCTGGTGGAGCCATCAATTGGTAGAAAAACTTAAATGGTAATTTTGATGATGTGCCATACTAATCTGCGTGTGGACAGTTTTGAGAGCGAGGAACTACTAAGAACTTCCGTCTTAAGGAGGCCCATACACTTTAGTAGGCTTTACTTCTAGAAACTCCACCAAGTTCTCATAATGAAGAATTTAAAGAGATCTCCTCAAGGTGCTGGTAGAGAAAAGGGAAGAGTAAACATTCTGAAATATAATCAGATCCTTCTTCATAACACAGGCTTATTCTCCAAGGGAAAAGAGTTTAGCAGGTTTTCGTTTTGTTTTGTTTTCTTTGTTTTGTTTCTGAGATGGAGTCTTACTCTGTTGTCCAGGCTGGAATACACTTTTGCGATCTTGGCTCACTGCAACCTCCACCTCCCGGGTTCAAGCAATTCTCCTGCCTCAGCCTCCCTAGTAGCTGGGATTACAGGCACCCAACAACACATCTGTCTAATTTTTTGTATTTTTAGTAGATATGGGGTTTCACCATGTTGGCCAGGCTGGTCTCAAACTCCTGACTTCAGATGATCTGCCCACCTCAGCCTCCCAAAGTGCTAAGATTATAGGCATGATCCAACGTGCCCAGCCAGCAGGCTTTTATCTCACCTTGTGAAGAGACATTTATCTCATTGTAGCCCCCATAGCCTTCTTTTCTCATTTAAGAGTCAGGAAAAGAAAGCTAACAAAGACTTGTGACGGTCTATGGACACAGCCTAGGAACCCTGATAGAGATCTAATAATAAGAATATAGAATGCTTCCACTCCCCAACAATTTACTTCCTCACCAACAGGGCTCCAGTTAAATAATATTGGATTATACCAGAAAGAACATCAAGGCACAGACTCTATGTAAGGAGAAATTCTAAGAGAAACCTAAAGACAAAAGTGGAGACAAAATAAGGGCTAAGAGGGGATTTGAATCCTGTGGCACCTGCAGCTACAGCAAGGATTCGGCTCTGTCTAAGGTTCAGTTAGATTAGCATACAATCTCAAACTAAAGGCCTGTTTACCTCAATTTCTATTGCATAATACATGGTATCTGGCTTTCACCAAACAAGCCATAATTAATGCTAAAAGAAAAAGCATAGTCTTAAGAGACAAAGGAAACATTACGATGGCAGTAGAGGCCCACCTGGAGACACTGCTGCCAACATGCCAGCTGCAGTAGGGGAATCACGACTGGGCTGCATGCTCCACAGAGCTGATGGGAGAAGGCAGGAGCCTCACTCTCCTGCATGCAACTGCAGCAGCCCAAGTTGCAGCTGTGAAGTCAGGCATCCCTGTGCTCTTGGGGTCTGGGAGCAGGCAGGAGCCCCACCCTCCTGGGTGCAGCTGCAGCTGCCCAAGTCATGGCTGTGGAATGGCCATATCTGCACTCTTTGGGATCCAGAAGACCCCCACTACCCCCACAGGCTTGGAGGTGCCTGCTCCTGCTGCCTGACTGCAACCTGCTCCCAGCACCTACCCTGATCTTGTACCAAGGTTGGGGCTGAGCAGCCAGGGTGCTGTTGCAGCCCAAACAGGTGTGCATACACTCAGGGCATGTTGACACACCAGCCTCCTTGCACTTCAGCCCTCTCCAGACTTTGGGAACAGACAAGCATGGAAGGGAGGCAGAGGGAGTGCCGAGGGCAGCTTTGTACTGGTCTGCAGGCGCCCCTTGGCATAAACATCCTGAGCACCATGGACAGCAGCAGGAGGCAGACAGGCTTCTGAACAGAAGAGGGTGGGTCCTTGGTGAGGACCCACCTTCAAGCTGGGGAGGGCCTGAAGCCTGGGGGCTGGACTGCCAGTCCCCTGGACTGGAATAGGTACTTGCAGTGCTTTTTCCAGCCTGCCTATGGCCACCTGTGCACCAATCAGCATGCACCTTCTCCCCTCTGAAGCCCGTAAGTGCCCCAGACTCAGCCAAACTTGAGCAAATGACAGGTAAATCAGCTGCTGAGAGGAGCTAGCAACCCCAGGGTCTCCTCTCTGCTGAAAGCTGAACACTCATCAGGATATCCTGTCTGGGGAGAGGAGCTACCCACTGTGGGTCTCCTCTGAGCTGTTCTATCACTCAATTAAAGGTTCACTTGACCTTGTTTACCCTCCACTTGTCCACATACCACTTTCTTCCTGGGCACAGGGCAAGAACTCAGGACCTACCAAATGACAGGGACAAAAGTGATGTAACACAAACAGGGCTGAAATGTGCCTCTTGCTTGCCACGTGTGGGTGACAAGAAGAAGAGAGGAGAAAAAGAGAGAAGGGCTGTAGCCTTTTGAAGAGCCAGACCTAGAGCTCCCTGAGCCAGGACTTGACACTCTCTTTGGGGCTATGCAGTTCCTGGTATTTCTAAGCTTCTGGGTGCCACCAAGTTCCCTGGTGCCAGCTGTGGAAGCTGCTTGCAGTACTCCTATTCCAGGAGCAGCCAGCAAGGAGCTGGCGCCTGTGCCAGCACCTGGAGCTGCCCACCCCACCGCAGCCAAGGTGCCTAGCTGTGTGCAGTGACTGGACCCCATGCTTGTTCCCACATCCCTCAGTGCTTTGCACCTGGGTCACCTTTGGCAGGGATGGGATTTAGGCTGGTACTGCGAGCTGAGTGCAGCCAGCTAGGCTGAGTGGGTGGAATGAGCCTAGTGGACCTGAGCAAAGCTAGGGCAAAGGCATCACTGACCACAGAGGTTTCAAGCCAGAAAAGCATCACCTCAAGAATCCCATGAGAATTACAACCAGATTCAGATAAGATTCATATTTTGGAGTTATCAGATAATAAATTTAAAGTAACTATGGTTAAAATGTTAATAATTATAAGAGAAAAAATTAACATGTTTCAAGAATAGAGAAGGAAATGCTAAGAATCAAAAGTAAATAATAGAAAACATTGCAATATAAATAACAACTGTCTTAGGCTAATCAGTAGGCAGAATACAGCGAAGAAATTAAACTGTGAGTTTAAAGGTCTATAGAAGCTAAAATAAATCAATATACTCTTCCCAAATTAAAAAGTAAAGAATAAAATATAGTTTAAAAAAGGGAATCAAACATTCCAAAACTGTGGGACCAATTCATAGGTGTATAATACACATACTTTGCTGTTTCAGAAAGGAAAGAAGGAAAGAAAGAAAGAGAGAGAGAAAGAAAGGAGGGAGAAAGAAAGAAAGAAGGAAGGAGGGAGGGAGGAAGGAAGGAAAGACAGAAAGGAAAGAAAGAGAAAGGCAGAAAGAATGGAAAGAAAGAGAAAGAAAGAGAGAGAAAGAAGAGAAAGAAAAAAAGAAGGAAGGAAGGGAGGGAAGATGAGGAAGGGAAGAAGGGAGGAGGGAGGGAGGGAGATGAAATATTTGAAGTAAACATTTGAAGACACCATAATGAATTTCTCAGTTTAATGACAGGCATCAAACCACAGATTCAGCAAGCTCAGTGAACACATCAAGTAACATTAATAGAAAAATATACTAAGCTAATCATGTTATAATCAAACTACAGAAAACATAAAACAAAGAGAAAACATTGAAAGAAGCCAAAGGAAGAGAAAGGATGACCTAAAGAGAGAGCAGTAAAAAAACACATCAGACTTTTCATCAGAAACCACATAAGCAAGAAGAGACTAGAGTGAAATATTTAAAGTGTTGAAAAACAAAACCCCACTAATCTAGATTCTATGTACAGTGAAAAGATCCTTCAAAAGTTAAAGATAAATATAGATTTTCTCAAGCAAAAACTGAAGGTACCCTAGCACTCAGAGCTGTCACGCAAGAAATGCTAAAATTTATTTAAGTAGTAGAAAAATAATATGTCATAAATTTGATCTTCATAGAAATAGAAAGATCAGAAAAATAATAACTGAATGAAAAATAAAATATTTTATTTTTGTTATCCTAACCAACCTAAAAACCATTTGTTTAAAGAAATTATAACAAAGTATTGGGTGACGGTAGGTTATGAATTCATGAAATAAATAACAACAATATCCTATGGGACACTAAGGAAAAACTGGAAATAGTCCATTATAAATTATAGTAGTTTGAAGGTGGGATTTGATTGGTTAAACATGTATGTTGTAACTCTAGGTCAATTGCTAAATTTTTTGAAGTCTAATTAATATGCTAAGGGAAGAAATAAAATTTAATTATATAAATGTTCAATTAACACCATCAAAGCTAGAAAAGGGAAAGCAAGAAAAAAACAAATTTACAGGCAGAAAACAGTTGCCAACATGGTAGATACTAAACCAACTCTATTAATAGGAGCTTTAAATGTGGTCTGAATATACCACCTAGAACAAAGGTATCATCTTAAAGTATGAGAAAAAAAGACCCAATTATATGTTATATGCAAGAATTAGTTAAAGTTAGATTAAAATGAAGAGATGCAAAAATATATACCATAGTACCATTAATCAAAACAAATGTGGAGCAGTTACATTGATTTTAAACAATATGTCTGATAAACCAAGCAAGCATTCAAGGGCAGAACCTAAGCACTGGGACCTTGGTGCAGGGACTGAATTAAGAATTGAACACTGCATGGCAGGATTCAGGATTCAATTCAGATTGAGCCCTGGCGTCTCTCCATGGTAGGATCCAGTCAGATCATGCCTCCTGGCATTATTTCATTGTGATATCCACTCACATCATGGCTGATTAACCTACGCTTATAAAACCAATCCAGCTCCAGCTCAAGAAGACAGATTTCAGCATTTTCTCTTGTCTCCTTGCTAGTCAACTTGCAATAATTTTTAATTTTTTTTTCAATAGCTGGTGCCATGGTACTTCTATGCGCATCTGGAAGTGAGCCCATTTATTGCTTAGTAACAAAATCATCATTGCTCACCCAAACAGGAATACTTGATGAAACTCAATTTCATTAGAGTAGTGTAGCTGGAAGTAGATATGAAGATACATCAAAGATGCAATTAAATAGACCATTGAATAATGACTGAAATGTAGTACCATCCCCATCAATAACCATCCCCATCAATAACAAATTTAACAACAGACTATAAGACTGTTGGATATCTGATCACTATGGAGTCTATGCCATTAAAGGGCTATGATCCAGGATGCTAGAGAATCAAGCCACAAAAATAAGCTGTGAAAAAACCATGAGAAGCCTACACCATGGGAATGTGTAACTGAACGGTGTATTTTTTTTCCACTGTTCTCAAA
The DNA here is from genome assembly GCF_000001405.40 of Homo sapiens. NCBI lineage: Eukaryota > Metazoa > Chordata > Mammalia > Primates > Hominidae > Homo > Homo sapiens. The sequence goes on from NC_000006.12 coordinate 103,187,634, forward strand.
TGGCTTGAGTACCATGAACTAAGGGGCGCCTGATTGGGATTGAAGAGATAAAGGAACAACCTCCTAATGCAGTTATATGGTCCTAAAAATATAAAAATCTGTACTATAGTTTCTGTAGTGTCGTTATATTCACTACCCAGATAGAAATCTAAACTTACTAAATAATAACTTCTATTAAGCACACAAGATACCAGGAAAGTTTATTATGTGGAAAAGCATCTTTGTCTGCTATGATGAAAGAGAGGATGGTACTGTGAGTTCAACTGATGTATGGCATGTCAATTACTACCTTGATACCTCTGATTTTGCTATAAGGTGTGACAAAACCTGTAAAAGTTTTTAGACAAAATTATATAAAAAGAAGTTTTACACAAATGATGATTCCCAAGGTGAGAAAATATTTTGGGAGACTGAGTTAAGATTCCAGTTGATATAAAATTCATGGAAACCAATAAGTGAATTTATCCTTAAAATTATTCATACCAAAGTTTGTTAACACCTATTAAATTTTTCAAATAATTCTGAATGATAAAGAAAAATCAGTTGGTAGAAGAATATCAAAAAGAATGATCTTTCTTGATGAAGAAAGATCAAATTGGTAGAAGAATATTGAGAAGTATATCAAGGAATATGGTCACAATTAACATGATTTGTAGAGGAAATTCATATTCTTCTTTGGAAATTTCAAATTAGTGTGTTCATTGAAAATATTTGTTGGCTTATTTTTTTGTATGAGATATTGTAGAAAATGTAAATTATAAAAAAGATACCTGAGTAACATCCAGCAAGATAATAATGACTGAGATCACAGAAGAGGATAGAATATGTTAAAATAGCTAGCCTGTGATCTGTCTCTTCATACTTACCTTAGAAGTTCCTGGGGGTGGGGTGGAGAAAAAGCCAGGCAAGCAGGAATAGCCTTCCTATAAACATACTAACAACTACTCCAACTATAAATAGGTTGATCATATTTTTTAGGAAGATAATATTTATCTACATAATATTCTAAGAACTAGAATATTACATATTAGAATTTATTAGAATTGCTTATGGTAAATCCATAATTTAAAAACCCATAGTTGGAATTTATGGATTCATGTGCAAAGGTCCCCAGAAAATATTGCAGATGCTAGGTGAAGATCTTAGGCATAAAATAGATATTTTTTGTAAGTGAAACATATCTGCTATGTGACTGAAAAAAAAACCAAATTTAATACTTTCTATGTAAACCTGAGCCAAATAACAATTATTCTATGAGAAGGAAAGATTTGTGAGCTCTCAACAATGTCCCAGATGTCTCCTTGCTTCACGTCTAATTCTTAAATGCTGGTATGATTGAAATTATTTTGAAAGCTTGATAGTGAGTAAGGTTGTTGTTTATGTTAGTTAGATTTGACAATGCAGTCCTTTTATTAATTCCAGTAAAATAATTATCTAACAATAATTTATTGTTAGATATATAACAATAAATTCATCTAATTATTTATTATATATTAGTTATATAAAATATTAATATTTAATTTTGTATTTCGATATCAAAATTTGCATAAATTTAATATATCCATTAAAAATAATATATCTGTTTATAATATCTTATAAATACATTTTTATTATTCATTATTTATTTAATATGTCAAATATTTTATGAATATATTATCACATATCAATGATGATCAAATATCTGAATTCAACTTTTGGCCCCAAATTATATAAATCTTTATTAATATTAGTAAAAACCAAAATTTTAAAACAAAAATACTTATTAACAAAATAATTATAACAAAATATTAAACCTATATTTTTTCGGAATGCATGTTACAGAATGAAACGTACTTTATGTTGATTTCTAATTTTTAGTTTTTCATTATATAATTTAAGGCATGATGCAGAGGAAACCAAGGAAAGAAAGATTAATTGTTAAGAATTCATAGAAATTTCATTCATCTTTCATAAAAATACATACAAAAAAGTTAAAAATTAAAATCATTAAAGCTAATGGAATCTATTATATTTAAATAGCTTATTTCGCAGGTGAAGAGATATTGTTTTAGATTATAAAGCCACCGTATTAAATGAGCCTTCAAATTGCACTGACATAACAGTAAAACTTTATTTCTCACTCAAAATAACAAGATTGCAGCTGTAAGTTAGAGGGCAATTTTCCTTTACATCAGGGGTCCCCAATCCCCAGGCTGAGGACCAGTACCAGTCTCTAGCCTGTTAGGAACCGGGTCACACAGCAGGAGGTGAGCAGGAGCAGAGCAAATTTTACCTCCTGAGTTCTGCCTCCTGTTGGATCAGAAAGGACATCAGATTCTCAGAGTAGCACAAACCCTATTGTGAACTGTGCATGTGAGGGATCTAGGTTGCATGCTCCTTATGAGAATCAAACTAATGCTTGATGATCTGAGGTGCAACAGTTTCATCCTCAAGCCATCCCCTTAACCCCCTGTGACAAAATTGTCTTCCATAAAACCTGTCCCTGGTGCCAAAAATGTTGGGGACCGCTGCTTTACATGGTGATTCAGAGATCTAATCTTTGAGGTCACAGCCAGGCACAGAGGCTCACACCTGTAATCCCAGCTCTTTGGGAGGTTGAGGCAGGTGGATCACATGAAGTTAGGAGTTCAAGACAAGCCTGATCAACATGGGAAACTCTGTATTAACAAAAAATACAAAAATTAGCCTGGTGTGGTGGCACACACCTGTAGTCCGATCTACTCAGGAGGCTGAGGTGGGATAATCACTTGAATCTGGGAGGTGGAGTTTGCAGTGAGCTGAGATCGTGCCACTGCACTCTAGCCTGGGCGACAGAGCGAGACTCCATCTCAAAAAAAAAAAAAAAAGAAATATTTGGGGTCACAGTTTTTTCATCCACTAGAGCATCATTGTTGTCTTCATCCAACTAATGCTAAGGGGGTTTTAAAGTAAGATCTAGTTTTCAAAACCTTTGACCAGGAAGTGGCACATTACTTTCACTTTCATTGCTTTGCTAGAATTAGTCAAATGCGCACATCTCTGTGATTTCAGTACCTATGTAGTAAGAAGCTACTCCTTGACAACATCTTGAAAACATGAAAGGGGTGCAGAAATTTTAGTGGACAATTGGCTAATTCAGGTACAGGGTATGGCTTACTATGTTATTATGAATTCAGCATTATAACACCAGCCTTGCTATTAAATTGCTACATAATCCCTGTTTATGGTTTTGGTAGATCTTAGCTTTAGATTCTTAGTTTATTAAGAAGAAAATGTCAAACTAAATAATTTCCTGATTTTTATTTTTATAAATTTAAACTTTTATTAACCATTCGCAAATAAACAAATTCAAGCAAGCATTCAAATTGGGTCTGTGCATATTTTTAACCACTGTGTGCTACCATCATTACTAATAATAAAGAGTTAAACATAAATTAATTTTAAAACCTATGGTTACATTTCATCAATTTAAAATAATCTAGAACATAAATCCTTCTACCCTGTCTTAGTCAATTTTGTGTTGCTTTTAAGAAATCCATGAAGCTCAGTAATTTATAAAGAAAAAAATTAATTGGCTTATAATTTTTATGTTTGGAAAAGTTCAATATTGGGCATCTGCATCTGGTGACAGCCTGAGACTGCTTCCACTCATGTGGAAGGTGAAAGGGAGCTGGTATGTGCAGAGATTTCATGGTGAGAAAGGAAACAAGAGAGACAGAGGAGGCGCCAACTTCTTTTTAACAATCAACTCTTGTAAGAACTAATAGAATGAGAAGTCTCATTCACTGCCTCCTACCCAGGAAGAGCATTAATCTCTTCATGAGAGGTTTGCTTCTTTGACCAAAACACCACCTTATGACATTGGTTCTCCAAATCTTATGTCCTTCTGACATACAAAATACTACACAATGTCATATCATTCTATGTCAATAGTTCCCAAAAGTCTTAACTTGTTCCAGCATCAACTCTAAAGTCCAAAGTTTCATCTGAGATTCAAGGCAAGTTCCTTTCAGCTATGAGCCTTTAGGATCAATAAAAATTTATTTACTTTCAAGATACAATGATTTTGCAAGCATTGGGTAAACATTTCCTTTTCAAAATGAAGAAATTGTCCAAAACCAAAGGGTCTCAGTCCTCACACAAGTCCAAACGCAGCAGGACAGACATTAAATCTTAAAGCTCCAAAATCTTCCTTTATTCCATGTCCTACATCCTGAGAATCTTCGTGTGCAGAGTGAGCTCCTGATACCTTGGTCAGCCTCACCTAATAACTTTGCTGGACACAGCCCAAGTGGCTACTCTCACAGATTGTTGTCAAATGCCTGTGGTCTTTAAGAGTGAGAGTGCAGGCTTCCAATGGCTGTATAATTCTCTAATTCTTGGGACTGGAGGGTGGTGGCTCTACTCCCAAAGCTCCACTAGGCACTTCTCTAGCAGAAACTCTGAGTTGACTCCACCTCTGTGGCAAGCTTCTTCTGGGCACCCAGGCTTTTCAGTACATCCTCCAAAATCTAGGTGGAAGCAACCAAGCCTCCACCACTCCTGGATTCTGGGAACCTGCAGACTTAATACCACATGGAAACTGTCAAAGCTTACAGCTTTGTGTTTTGAAGCAGTGGACTAAGGTGTTTGTGGAGCCATTTGAGCCATGGGTGAAGCTGTAGTGGCCAGGATGCAGGGAGCAGCATCCCAAGGTGACGCAAGGCAACAACTTGCCAAGCCTGGTGCCCAAAACCATTCTTTCTTCTATTCCTTTAAGCCTGTGATGATAGAGGCAACCTCAAAGATTTCTGAAATGACTTCAGGGCCTTTTTCCCATTGTCTTCACTATTAGAACCTGACTCCCTTTTAGTCACGCTAATCTCTTTAGTAAATGGTTGCTCCACAGCATGCTTGGATTCCTCTCCTGAACATACTATTTTCTCTCCTACCACATGAACAGGCTGCATGTTTTTAAAATTGTTTTTCTCTGCTTCCCTTTCAATTATAAATTCCACCTTTAGGTCATTCCTTTTTTGCTGTATCTGATTCTAAGTGGTTAAAAGTAGCCATACCACTTTTTGAACACTTCGCTGCTTGGAAACTTCTTCTGCCAGTACCTTAGATCATCCCTCTTTCTTTTTTTTTTTTTTTTTTTTTTTTTTTTTTTTTTTTTTTTGAGACGGAGTCTCGCTCTGTCGCCCAGGCTGGAGTGCAGTGGCGGGATCTCGGCTCACTGCAAGCTCCGCCTCCCGGGTTCACGCCATTCTCCTGCCTCAGCCTCCCGAGTAGCTGGGACTACAGGCGCCCGCCACTACGCCCGGCTAATTTTTTGTATTTTTAGTAGAGGCGGGGTTTCACCGTTTTAGCCGGGATGGTCTCGATCTCCTGACCTCGTGATCCGCCCGCCTCGGCCTCCCAAAGTGCTGGGATTACAGGCGTGAGCCACCGCGCCCGGCCTAGATCATCCCTCTTAAGTCCAGGTTTCTGCAAAGCCCTAAGGCATGAACACGATACAGCCAACTTCTTTACTACAACATAACATGAGTGACCTTGGCTCCAATTCCCAATCAGTTCCTCATTTCCATCTTAGATCTCATCAGCATGGCCTTTACTGATTACATTTCTATTAGCATTTTAGTCACAACCACTTAACCAATCTTAAAGTAGGCCCAAACTTTCCCTCATCTTTTTTGTCTGCTTCTGAGCCCTTCAGACTCTTCCAGTCTCTGCCCATTACCCAGTTTCAAAGCCACTTCTACATTTTCAAGTATCTTTACATCAATGTCTCACTGCTTGGTACCAATTTTCTGTCTTAGACTGTTTTATGTTGTTTTAAAGGAATACATGAGGAGGTGTAATTTATAAAAAGGAAAGATTTACTTGGCTCACAATTCTGATGTCTAGAAAAGTTCAAGATTGGGCATCTGCATCTGGTGAGGGTCTCAGGCTGCTTCCACTCCCGTGGAAGGCAGAGGAGCCAGCATGGGCAAAGATCACATGGTGAGAGAGGAAGCAAGAGAGAAAAGGGAGTTTCCAGGCTCTTTTTAACAACCACATTGATGAGAACTAACAGAGCAAGAACTCAGTCACATCCCACGCCCTGTAGAGCATTAATCTATTCATGAGGAGTCTGCTCCACTCAAACATCTCCCATTAAGATGCTACCTCCAACACTGGGATCTAATTTCAACATGAGGCTTCAGGGAACGAACATCTAAACTATAGCCACCCCTGAATACCACCCAAATCACAAGTATTTGTAGAATAGGTTATCGTTACAATCCAAGGGTAGGCAATATTGGAGGGTTCATTGGATGTATTGGAGGTCCTGCAGCTGAAATGTATTTTCAAGCATTAGGAAATTAGTGAGTTGCTCTTATGTCTGTAGAAGTTATTACACTTAGTATTTTAAAGACTTCTAATATTGAGACGGTTCAAAGTAATTATCAGTGGCAATGCCCTTTCTGATTAGACAAAAGAGCAGTGAAAACAATCTTCTTTCATTAGCTATTTCAAGTTTGAAAGGGTTTTAAGGTATAATTGAACTTTTAAACCATACTTTATTTAGTAGCTAGAGGGTTAAAAGCTTCATTAGGCAAGAATGTATACTTTAATGTTCATAAAACATTACACTTTTACTGTTTTTATAACTGTATTGTGAAGGAATTAATGAGTCTTAGTAATTAATTGTGTAGTTCAGTTCAATTTAGTTTCTGTAAAAAAAAGTTGTTTATATTATTCTTAATAAAATCTAATCCATTTGATACTGTGATAAGATCTTAACATAATAAATGCAAAATACACCCCTTCCTCAGGTTGCAAAACCAATTTACATGTAGATGACACAATTTTATATCTCCTGTAGCATAATTTAGTTTGCATTTTCAGAAAGCACAAAATGAGCAGTTTTTCCCCTTGGTAAACTACAAAAATGTGTGTAGGTACTTCTCTCATAGTACAAAAATCAATCTGAAAAACAGTAATTGAAAAGTTTCTTAGGGATTATAATTGATTTAACGTATAAAGTTGAAGGTAACATATTTATTATTTTCAAATTTATTTTTGAATAAGGATGTACATTACACTGGTTTTCTTCACTATATTGTGTGTGCACATGTATGTGTGTGAATGTGTGTGTGTATATGTATACATAACCTATTTTTGTTACAGATTTTTATAATGATTTAGAAAACTATTAAAATGTGCTTGTACAACACACATGAGAATTATTTCTTACAGAATATAAATGATTAATTTGTAGTATCATTTCACTCAATAGTAATCAAAATTATTCACAAGAAACAGAACCCAAGCAAAGCATTCGCTAAGATAATGCCATACATAATATTTTCTAAGCCTGAAAATAATGTATTCAAAAATCCTAATTTAAATAAAAAAAGGTAAACTCTACAATCATTTAACTCTATAGTGAAAGAAAAACTGATGCATAGTATTTGTAAATGAACTGTTTCAACACATATTAAGAACAATTTGATAAATGCCCTACAAATATAAAACTGGGTGCCAAAGTACAATGTGGAAAAATATATCATAATTTAAAAATAATATTTTAAATTTACATGCCACTACTGAAATTATGTAAGAGAATGAGCAACAGACAGAAATGTTGAGATTAGTATGTATATTCAATAAATTTTATGTATATAAATTCTAAGTATATGTTTATCATAAAACATTTATTGACAGAATAATTGTATAATATTAATAATGCAGTCCTATCTGTCATCTATCATGACTTTCCTCAATATTCTCATCTCATCAATTTTAGTAACTTCTTACGATTTTGTGGGGCACATAATGATGAAATCTTTATTATTCATTTATGCAAACATATTATAGTATTAAATTGACTAAATATGCAAATTGTTCTGTAATGGCTTTTGAGCCAAGAATAAATAAATGCTACAACAAATTGAAAAGAAGGTTTAGATTTCTTTCTTGAGGACAAGAGAAACTGGATAGTGTCAGAACCTCTACATATGAATGTAAATTCTATTCTTATTTCATATCACTACATATAACATTAATATTGAAGAATGTTAATAGTTTTCTTTAAAAATTACAATTTTAATCCAAATCTAATCCAATTGGAATTGGATTTCAGGAATAATTTAAACAAATTAAAACATACTCAGAATTCTTCCAGAAAATGGCCTTCAAGAATGTCAAGATTTGACTCTCCATATGTTTTTCAAATAGACCAAAACCCAGTGGATTAAAGAATATATTGCAAGAAAAATACTAAATAAGATAAATAAGTTAAAACAATTATATACTAAATATATATATTTATATACATATACTAAGAAAGATAAATAAGTTAAACTATTACATGCTTAATAAAGTAACAAAATTTAAATAAAATTGAGAATCTAAATGAACCTAAGAAAACTTACTGTCAGTTATTATAAATGGACATTTTTTTCTATTAGGACTCTAAATTATTGGAAAACATGACACAATTTTGAATACAGTGTATATTTAGAATGGCCTGCTCTTAGTTTGAGTGAGTCTAAGCCCTATCTACAACCTACAAGGTAACCATAAATACAACTCTTAGTAGGGTCTGCCATAATTAAAATGCCCACAGGAGTGGTATGGTACAGTGGTTTTTGACACTTGTGCAATTTATTTATATTACTTTTACTGGTATCTACTAAATACACCTTCACTCAATTTTGAATCAATAGTATGTCTTGAATTTCCCATTTAAAAATTCTCTACATATTTTTTAATGAGAAAAATGTAATCACATCATCAATAATATATTTACTGTTTAAATAGCAATTACAATTACATAGGTATTTGTGCAACCCAAGTTTATATGCATAAAGTATTCAAAACATTATGATGTTACATTGATGTTTAGAATAAATTCTTTGAACTGAATAAAACTTGTTGATTCCAACTAGATTACTATTCTTGTGTGATTCCAGAAACTACACAAACTCTTAATGCTATTACAATGCAAAAATAATACAAATACAATGAGTAAAATAAATTTCTACCAAAATAGCATAATTATGTTTAGTGGAGAGAATAACAATATGCTTCAGCTTTTAATTATGAGAATATAGTTGATGGTTATATTATTAAATACTGCTCATCTTTAAAAATTGCAATTACATTAAAAGAGAAGAAAATGTAAATACTTTAGTTAAAATTAATGCAAATGACACAAAGTAAAATTCAAAATATTCTAATATTTTAAACAGTATTTTAAAATATTTAATATTATTCAATAAAGTTAAAAAAGAGTAAGCTATAATTAAAATAGTTGAATTGCAAATCTGCATTAGTTTAATAATAAAGATGAATTTTTATACAAATGTTTGAAAAAGTAATGAATTACTAAATAATTCTATGAAAATCTTCATGTCTTTTCAATAAATAGTATTTGGAAAACTGTATATTCACATGCAAAATACTAAAATTAGATCCATGTCTTACACCATATACAAATTCACTCAAAATAAATCAAAGGCTTAAATGTAACGTCTGAAATAATAGAGCTCCTAGAAGAAAACAGAGGGAAAGAGCTCCTTGACATAGGTCTTTACAATTATTTTTTTAATATAACATCAAATTCAAAGGCAAAAAAGCAAAACTAAAAAAGTAGGACTACAAAATAAAAAGCTTCTGGGAGCAAAAGAAACAATCAACGAAATAAAAAGACAACCTAGGGAATGGGAGAAAATATTTGCAAATTGCATATTTGATAAAGAGTTAATATTCAAAATATATAAAGAACTCACGTAAATTAGTAGCAAAAAACCAAATAATTTGATTTTTAAATGAGCAAAAGACCTCAATATATATTTTTCCAAAAAAGACATAAAACACCCAAATGCTTTATGAAAATGTGCTCAACAACACTAATCATAAGGGAAATGCAAATTAAAACCACAATGAGATATCATCTCACACCTGTTGGGATGGCTATTGTCAAAAAGAAAAGAGAAAACAAGTGTTGGCAATGGTGTAGAGGAAAGAAACTCTTGTACACTGTTGGAGGAAATGTAAATTGGTGCAGACATTATGGAAAACACTATGAAAGTCCCTCAAAAACCTAAAAATAAAACCACCATATGATCTAGCAATCTCACTTAATCAGTGTCAAAGAGATATCTGCACTCACATGTTCATTGCAGCATTAATCACAGTAGCCAAGGTATGGAAACAACCTAAGTGTCCATCAATAGATGAATAGATTTTAAAATGACAGAGAGATAGATATATAGCTAGAGAGATGATAGACAGAATTGAATATTGTCCAGTAACACACAAAAATCCTGTCCTTGTGACTACATGGATGAACCTGGAGGACATTAAGCTCTGTGCAGTAAACCAGACCCAGGAGGACAGATGCTGTATGATCTTACTTATATGTGGAATCTGAAAAAGTTTAACTCATAGAAGCAGAGGCTAAAAAAGTGGTTCTCAGTGGCTGGGAGTTGGGAAAAATGGGGAGATACTGGTCAGTTATCAGATGAATATGTTCTGGGGATCAAATGTACAGCATGGTGACTATAGTTAATAATACCACATTGTCTACTTGAAATTTGATAAAATAGCAAATTTTAAGTGTCCTCACCAAACACATACCCACACACACAGATGCATGGCACATGCACAAATAGTAATGTGGTTTATATTATATTTTTTAAAATAAAAAATTATGATATTCAATGTTTTCCTAGATGCTAATAAAATGAATAAATACCATATTTTGCCCTTGTTAATAGATGTAACTGTATTCAAATTTGAAATGTAATGTCAATTATTTAATATTAAACATTGTTAGTCAGCTGCTATACATGTCTTTTCAGTGTTGTAAATTCAGGCAGTCTTTTAAAAGCTGGGATTGGAATATTAAGAAAAGTAATAAACTTCATGTTTTGCTTTCTTAGAAAAAAATACACGGACACTGTATTGTGCAAGAATCTTTTGCGTTCACGATATCTGAGAGGCAGCATTTGACAAGTTAATTATGTGTGTTTTGTTTTGTTTTGTTTGAGATGGAATCTCTCTCTGTTGCCAGGCTGGAGTGCAGTGGCGCGATCTCTGCTCACTGCAACCTCCTCCTCCCGGGTTCAGCCATTCTCCTTCCTCAGCCTCCCATGTAGCTGGGACAACAGGCACATGCCACCATGCCCAGATAATTTTTGTATTTTTAGTAGAGACAGGGTTTCACCATGTTGGCCAGGATGGTCTCAATCTCCTGACCTTGTGATCTGCCCGCCTCAGCCTCCCAAAGTGCTGGGATTATAGGCGTGAGCCACCGTGCCCGGCCCATTTGTTTGTTTTTTGACTAAGCACAAAGAATGAAACTTTTCTATACTTGTAACCAGAATCAGTCTACAATGTCAGACGTAAAATTTTTATAATATTTGAGTGCATTAGTCTTTTGTTTCAAAAACACAGGACTAGAAATGTAAAGATGACTTTGCTTGTTAGTCACCCCATGAGTTGGTGTTTAGGTTACAGGTCATGCTTTGACAGTATTGAGTGCCAGATTCCAAGGGACAGTGGCAAATATATATATTTTGTTTTCTCGTATCTGAACTCTTTTAAATTACAAGAACAGAGCAAATAATCTCCTTGCCCATTTCCAAATGTATATTGCAATGAGAAACTCTAAGTCAGGTTAAAATTGATGTTCACTCAAATAAACCATATGGTGCCAAGAAATGCTTCACAGAATAAGGTGAAATAAGAGATAACATGCTATTAAGAAAATAATTACTTTTATTTATTGTTCACTATTAAAGCTATATGATATACTCATCAAATTTCAAGGTAAACCAGAGTAAGAAATATACCAGAGGATGCTCCACAAATGAGGATATTGTGCTTATACTTTATGGAAATGCTAGTAGCTATTGGCCACACCTGGGGAAGTTGAAAGGCATACAAAACTGCTTTTAACATGTAATGGAAGTTACTGGTAAATTCATACTGACAACTTTCCTAGCCTATTAAGCAAAAGTAGGGAATTTAACTTTCCATACATGATTTAGCTGAGGTTTTTTTTGTTATAATATACTCTGTGTTAAATTTTCTGTTAACACCAAGATAAAATTGATAAGATTTTGCAGGCATTAACTTTCCCATTCTATATTCTCTCTGTTTTTTTTTTTTTTTCCAGAAAATTCAGTAGGGTGTGAATATACCCTCAACATATAAATTCAACATTCCACAAATTTATTCATCTACAAAATTCATGAAATAAATAATATTTGTAGCCATGTAGAGTTTCATCCAATTACGGCTCTTGTGGATATGAAACATGATTCACTATCCAGTTTCTGAAGACCATTCCGATTTTTTTTTTCAGACAAGGCTGTGCTGACTTTCCCATCACCCATATGTCACTCTTCAATGTCTCTATGCATTTGCCGTTAAATACAGGACTAGTAGCCAAGAATCTAAATTTCAAGACCTAACCCTGAAGTACACTAAATTTTTACTTGATGTTTCTGAAGTTACTTCACTTTTCTGGCCCCCATCTTCTCATTACATTCCCCGCAAAGTAAATTTAAAATCAAAGATAAGAGTAATTGTTTAGGAAATAGCATGCAAAATACAAGTAAATGAATACATTGGAAATAAAACTTAGACAACATATTCATTAAATAGACTGTTAATTGAAAATGTTTTAATTTTCAATTAAGAATAATTTATATATTTGTGGGGTACAATGTTATGTTCTGGTATATGTATGCATTATGGAATGATTAGGCAAGCTAATTAACATATCTATCACTTCATCACTCAACATACATTTTTGTATGGTGAGATCACTTGAAATTTACTCTCTTGACCATTTGGAAATAAAAAGTACATTGTTATTAACTATAGTCACCATGCTGATTTTAAAATAGGTGTTACATATTTTAAGACACAAAAGACAAATATGACCAATTAACAGAAAATATTTTTTACTGTCTTCTGTATATAAACCTAAATCAAAACATAGAAGCTCCATGCACAAATAATAACGTAAAGTATTCACTCCCCTGAATTTATCTAGAAAAAGACAAGGTATAGCCCACTGAGAGCCACAGCATCTGCCGAGAATGCCAACTACACATTGCAAACTTCAGGGGATCATTTCATGGACTAATGCATATTGTATCTACCTCCCTCCCCTAAATTGAGTAATTTGGCATCCATAAGTCTGGTGTATCTCTGTCTCAGTCGATTACTGTATATCTATATTTGTTCAGAGATGCGTATTCTAAAACATGAAATTGGAGAAGAGAATGAATAGCAGACTCAAAGACAGGCACAATGGCAGCAGTAAGACAGAAAGATGCCTGGAAGCAGTGACTGCCAGTGGAGTACAATCTTTAATCAATTGCACTATCGTTTAGCAGATTCCTTTCCATCACCTTTTAGAAATAATTGGAAAGAAGTGGTCCTTCCCTATTGTCATAGGGAAATTTAGAAAAACAAATTATTCTGTTACATTTCTGTTATACTTTAATACCGTATTCAAAGATACACATGAGAGAGAGAAAAAGAGAATAGAAAGAGTGAGAGAAAAAGGGGAGGAATATCAGAGCTGGAGAAAATTAGATACCATTAATATTTTAATAAATACTTGTATTTTACTTCATTTTGAAAAAATTATATTTCTTTAAAAATTTGCGTTGGAAAATGCCTATTTTATATGTCTTTTATTAGCTTTCAGAAAAGATTTTAAAATTTACTTTATTAAGTATATAAGTTTGTTAAGGTCTGTTAAATTATCAGGCATAACATATTCCTAATGATCAGCCCTGATTATTTGAGTTGAGTGCTTATCCCCTCTTAAGCCCTATCGCTAAATTGTGGAAGTTAATACAGTTAAAAATACATACTAGTCATCGTATTTCCTAAGAACATCTCACAGTACAGATAAGTCATATCCCTTTTATCAAAATAATTAAAAATTTAACGCAACATTGTGTCCAATTCTTAAAATAACATAACATAGCAATAAAGAGTAATTTAATGGCACCTTTATTTTTATCTGTGCTAAATGTTTCATTATCATAAAATAGAATTACAATATTTATGATACAATATATGATAGTCTAAGAAAAATGTATGATACAGTCAGTTCCAAATACTAGAATAATTTGAAAGCTATGTGTTATTGGCCATTTAATTTCAAGAAACACTTGTAAACCAATTTCAATTCAATTCACAGGCAATTACCAAACGCATATAATGTACTGTCCACTGTATTAGGTTCTAGAGGAATAAAGATAAATAAGATGGTCTGTAGCCATTAGGCAACACAGTCTTTTGCAATGAGGACACATAAACTGCTAGCTGGCCACTATAAAAGAAGATGAGTGTAAGAAGAGATGCATAAAGGTCTTCAGAAGACATAGGGGAAATTATTTTTATAAAACATATTTTAGGGAAGAGGTAGTTTTATTATATATGGAATAATTTAGTGTTTTAAAAACTATGTAGTTTTAGCATATGTTTTGTATGTTACAAAATGAATAATTATACAATTTATAACAAATTGTATATAGTGTTATATGTATGTTATGAAACAGTAACAGTTAAATTTGAATTTAGATAAAAATATATCATGAAGTATAACTTTTTGATGAAGAGACTGACTCCAGGAGAGAGATGCAAGAAGTGGTAGAATTTCTAGCTCCAATTATTAAGGAATTTTAAAATAACTTTTTCTGTTTAACAACAACAAAAATGCAGTTAGATAATGTTGAAATATTTCAAACACTGAGGAAGAGATAGTGCTGTTTATGCAGAAAATCAAGAGAAAAAGGTGGCATGTGTAAACTTCCAAAAAGTAAACTCTGTGTCTTAGAGGACATATAAGAATATGACCAAAGTAAAAATTAAACATAATAATTTATTCTACAAAAATTTAAAAATCCTGGGAGAACCTGAATAAATGATAAATTTAATAAGAATGTAGATCTGGAGGAAAATAAATTTATTTGATGTTTAGGCATCGGTACAATATTACCCAGAAGCATATCCCTGAGTAACATAGAATGAGAGTATATATGAGAGCTCATTGAATAGAAATATGTAAGAGTCATTAGCTTAGTAATAACTAGATTAGATTTTAGGCAAGATAATTGGTACTGTGCTTGCAGAACTGAGTGTAAAAAGAAAGCAGTAGGACACCAGGAAGGATTCATGCCTTACATATAACCTTCAATGAATATATCCTTGGAGAAAAAACCATAAGAAGAAAGGGACAGAAAATAGTTAATGGTGTACAAAGCAAGTAAACATTGTAAAACACTTAACTTTTAGAATTTGACTATGACTCATAGGTATGCATAAAAACACAGCAAAGGAGAATGAAAAGTAAAAATCAAGAGACGGTCATTCTAATTTCATGAAATTAGTATAAACCCAAGAGTTAGCTCCTTATAGGGATTTTTGTGAATCTATAAACTCTGTAAACTCATTTTGTGCAAGGCTCCCACCACGTTGTGTGAGAATCAAGGGCATAAAGGTAAATTAAATTTCATCATGGCCTCAAACTCCAATCCAGTTATTTAACATGATTGCCCGGTAAAACAACAGTGATCTTTTTTAACCCTTAAAGAAAAGCTGCTGTGCAGGGTTAGTTGAAAAATCGCACAGCAAAAGAAACTACCATCAGAGTGAACAGGCAGCCTACGAAATGGGAGAAAATTTTCACAACCTACTCATCTGACAAAGGGCTAATATCCAGAATCTACAATGAACTCAAACAAATTTACAAGAAAAAAATAAACAACCCCATCAAAAAGTGGGCAAAGGACATGAACAGACACTTCTCAAAAGAAGACATTTATGCAGCCAAAAAACACATGAAAAAGTGCTCACCATCACTGGCTATCAGAGAAATGCAAATCAAAACCACAGTGAGATACCATCTCACACCAGTTAGAATGGCAATCATTAAAAAGTCAGGAAACAACAGGTGCTGGAGAGGATGTGGAGAAATAGGAACACTTTTACACTGTTGGTGGGACTGTAAACTAGTTCAACCATTGTGGAAGTCAGTGTGGCGATTCCTCAGGGATCTAGAACTAGAAATACCATTTGACCCAGCCATCCCATTACTGGGTATATACCCAAAGGACTATAAATCATGCTGCTATAAAGACACCTGCACGCGTATGTTTATTGTGGCACTATTCACAATAGCAAAGACTTGGAACCAAGCCAAATGTCCAATAATGATAGACTGGATTAAGAAAATGTGGCACATATACACCATGGAATACTATGCAGTCATAAAAAGTGATGAGTTCATGTCCTTTGTAGGGACATGGATGAAATTGGAAATCATCATTCTCAGTAAACTGTCACAAGAACGAAAAACCAAACACCGCATATTCTCACTCATAGGTGGGAATTGAACAATGAGAACACATGGACACAGGAAGGGGAACATCACACTCTGGGGACAGTTGTGGGGTGGCGGGAGGGGGGAGGGATAGCTTTAGGAGATATACCTAATGCTAAATGACGAGTTAATGGGTGCAGCACACCAGCATGGCACATGTATACATATGTAACTAACCTGCACATTGTGCACATGTACCCTAAAACTTAAAGTATAATAATAATAAAATAAAAAGAAAAAAGAAAAATCATTAATTTTATTCATATTTGATAGTTATCCTAAGGTATTCTCAAGGAAAGCTTAACTTTAAACAATTTTTTCTATATCCCCTTTACAACTTAAACCACTCCCTCAAAAGGAGAAGATGAATGTTAAAATTTGGCAATGTCATTGATTCCACTAGCCATTTCACAGAAGTAGTATGTGACTTCAGGCACTAATATAATCAAATGTAAGACTCAGTAAAATTTGTGGAAAGGCATGTAAATAATCTGAGAATTATCTCGAGAGTTTCCTAGATGTTTATAAGGAAAATGAAGCCACATATTTTCACCTCGCCCACTGAGTAGTAAGAACTTCTTAGGCATCCCTGAGAAAGAAAATTAAGTCATTTAGAGAAGAAATTATTAATAGACTGTGAACAGAATAGAAAAATCAACAAGATGTGTAGTTAACTAGGTGCCATATTTTTGAGCTAAATTCTTGAGTAAATCTCTGAATAATATCTCTCTATCAAATCATATACTTTCCATTACCATATATACTGAATGTAATTTGTTCAAAATTGAGGCAAAAGACAAAGTAGCTTTAATGGACTTCAGACTTTGGGGAAAGGGAAAAAAAAACAGGAACCAAAGTAAGATTGGAAGTAGTATTTGATATCTCCATTTATAATCAAAAAACCTATCTTCTTAAAGTTGTCATCGCCTCAAAGAGTAAGCAAAACAAAATAATACTAAAAACATCAACAAAACAAAACATAGTCCTGAGTTTTGTAAGTATGATTACAACTTACTACTACTACTACTACTACTACCAAACTTACTACTCAGTTTAGCTAAAAGCTATAAACGTTGGCCAATACCATGTGCTAGTGAGCATGTTCAACAACTGGAAAATGAACATTTCAGAGAGAATGTAAATTTAAGCAATCATTTTGGAACACTGGCATGACCTACTGTAGCCAATCATATGCCAACTCTGTGACCCAGGAAGATTTTTTCTTCCTCTTCTTCTTCTTCTTCTTCTTCTTCTTCTTCTTCTTCTTCTTCTTCGTCTTCTTCTTCTTCTTCTTCTTCTTCTTCTTCTGTCTTCTGCGTCTTCTACGTCTTCTGCTTCTTCTTCTCCTACTTCTTTCTACTTCTTCTTCTTCCTTCTTCTTCCTCTTCTTCCTCTTCTTCTTTCTTCTTCTTCTTCTTCTTCTTGTTCTTCTTCTTCTTCTTTCTTCTTCTTCCTCTTCTTCCTCTTCTTCCTCTTCCTCTTCCTCTCCTTCTCCTTCTTCTCCTTCTTCTCGTTCTCCTCCTTCTCCTCCTTCTCCTCCTTGTTCTTCTTTCTTCTTCTTCTTTCTTCTTCTTCCTCTTCTTCCTCTTCTTCCTCTTCCTCTTCCTCTCCTTCTCCTTCTTCTCCTTCTTCTCCTTCTCCTCCTTCTCCTCCTTCTCCTCCTTCTTCTTCTTTCTTCTTCTTCTTTCTTCCTCTTCTTCCTCTTCTCCTTCTCCTTCTTCTCCTTCTTCTCCTTCTCCTCCTTCTCCTCCTTCTCCTTCTTCTCCTTCTTTTCCTTCTCCTTCTCCCCCTCCTCCTCCTCCTCCTCCTCCTCCTCCTCCTCTTCTTCTTCTTCTTCTTCTTCTTCTTCTTCTTCTTCTTCCTCTTCTTCTTCTTCTTCTTCTTCTTCTTCTTCTTCTTCTTCTTCTTCTCATTCTTATTCTTTGATACAGAGTCTCATTCTGTCACTCAGGCTGGAGTGCAATGGTGCAATCTTGGCTCACGGCAACTTTTGCCCCCTGGGTTCAAGCGATTCTCCTGCCTCAGGTTCCCAAGTAGCTGGGATTATAGGCACATGCCACCAAGCCTGGCTAATTTTTGTATTTTTAATAGAGACAGGATTTCACCATGTTGTCCAGGCTGGTCTCGAACTCCTGACCTCAAGTAATCTGACTGCCTTGACCTCCCAAAGTGCTGGGATTACAGGCATGAGCCACTGCACCTGACCTATACTTCTTCTTTATACCTGATAGAATGAATACATTTTAATCAAAAGACATATATATATATGTACATGTATATACATACAGAGAAAATATTCATAGTAGTAGTAGTCATAATAGCAAGAATCTAGAGACAAACATCAAACAACCATAAATGAATAAATTAAACATCTGTATTCATAAAATTGAATAATATGTAGCAATTAGGATGAAAACTATTGCTCCATAAATAAGAATATCCCAAATATAATTTAAGGAAAAACAATCCAAAATTGAAAAATACATATGGTTGGTTTTATTTATATAGAATTTAAAACCTGTTAAAACATATCTGTACATTAGAAATCAGAACTCTGCCTATGTTTCAAGTGTAAAATCAGAGAAAGACACAGGAAATACTTCAGGGACTTTGGCAATATTCTATTTCTTGATCCATGTTCTTTTTACAAAATGGGTTCAATTTGTGAGAAGATATCAGGTTGTAAACTATTATCTGTGCTTTCTTGTGCATATTTTATTTCTAATAAAAAGGGCTTTTTAAGAAGGGGCAAGACAATTATATCCCATATTACCACTTATTTTCAAATGAAAATTCAAGTTTCTATGCAATAAATAAATATATACCTAAAAGCCTGGTAGAAAATTAATAAATCATTCATGATTTGTAATATAATTTTCTATATAGGAGTGAAGTATTCTACAGAAATATTTATAGAGTTCTAAAAATTAATAAAATTTTCATAAGACCAATATGCAAAAGGGAATTGCACTTGCATTCAGCTGTAAGTTGGGCAATAATAGAATTCATATCCTCTGTTATCCAACTCTCAGAGAAAACGGTTCTTTCTTTACTGATGCCTTGAGATGTATAGTTTCACATATTTTGCCAATTGTTATTATTATAGTTTTAGTTTATTTAAGGATTGAAGATAAATTTGGTCCCTGTTACTCTGTTTCAAGTGGAAGCAGAAGTATTCATTTTATTTTTATACTTGGACATTTCATTCATTGTGTGCCCCTGTTATTAGTTTGCAAATTTAAAGATGTCAATGGCCCCATTTCTCTTAATCCTTGAGAGTTAAAAATAGCCCAGCTCTGTCTTTGGCCCACTGAAGTAATTGAGTCAATATATTTAGAATTGAATTGAATTATCTGAACAAATGAATGAATGAGTAAACTAATCCTTCAATCAAAACATATCCGTCAATGCAAATAGTTTATTTCCAGCTTGTCCTATTGGCCCTTACTACCTGTATGCCACGTAGCTAATCACACTTTCTCTGCCTGGAGTGCCTTCTTCACTATCCTAATAGTTTTTGTCTGATTACACCACAGTCTTTTCTCATCTTTTCAACTCATTTAGCAATTGTTAACTCAATTGTTTGGGCTTGGCTGATACTTTGCGTTTATTCTTTTATGGTTACATCATCTTTTCCTAATTATACAGCAAATTCTCAGGACTAGCTTCCATATTATACTCTTTATATCCTTAGTTTATTTATTTTCTGCTCAAAATTACGTTGATTTCACAAGTGTCAAAGGGACAGAGAAACTTACGTGAGTCGGCAGTTCAGAGAGAAAAAACTTAATGGATTCCCAAATTATTGGATTCAACTTAATATTTTTATTAGGAATTGGTAACTTATATATTTTTAAATTTTGATTTGAAGAGAAGAAGTTGAGATAGGGAGAGACACTCTCTAAAGTGGGACACACTTTAGAGAGACAAATGGGCTGGCTTGAAATTCCTGTTTCCAGAACTGCAATCATGAATGGCAGTGTTGTGACAGAAGCTGGAAACCAGAGACTAGACTTTTCATTTTTTCTTCCAAGGCTTAATGTTTGATTAATTTTCTTAAAAAAGACTCAGTCAAGCTGAATGAAAATAATAAACTACTGCTAATTAGACACACCATTGGATTCGAATTTCTTACATACTGATCTACTCTCAAAGAGGGAGACATTTACTAGTTGTAGAGGAGTAATATTACAACATTTTACTCCAATGAGGAAATCATATTTAGATACTTTTCCCAATGTGAAAGAAAGCCTTTTTTAAGTAAAAGGAATTAGAAAACAGAGACAACTGACCGAGAGCACAAAATTCACAGAGCAGATGGTATGTTGTAGGAGCACCTTTCACATAGAGAGAAGTGCCATTTTTATGTGATACTTTAAAAAGTGGTGGGCTTTTTCAGTTTATTTTGGTGGAAAATAAAGTTTCCTTATGATTCAGGTTTACTTTTGATGATACACAAAAGTTAAAGTTTCTCTAAAACCTGTAATAATCCATGATAAAAAAATACTAATATCCTTGCCTCAAAGAAAGATCAGAAATTAAGAATTCAGCCTTGATTAGAAGTAGGAAAAATGGTCTGATAATATTGGCAAGAATTTTCCATATTTCCAAGAAAATGAGAATTATTAATTTACATCATATTCCAATTAATATTTACACATTAACATATTTAATCACTAATTTACAAAATACTTAAATTCTAGTAGCTGTCAAGTTATATAGAAACATTATACACAATCTCTACCCAAGCATATTGTCCAATGAAGAGAAGTAATAAAAAAATCACAAATAAATCTAGTTGGGAAAAACAAATTAAAGAAGATACGTAATGCAGTGCATTATGC
The DNA here is from genome assembly GCF_000001405.40 of Homo sapiens. Classification (NCBI taxonomy): domain Eukaryota; kingdom Metazoa; phylum Chordata; class Mammalia; order Primates; family Hominidae; genus Homo; species Homo sapiens. Next base: position 103,208,841 of record NC_000006.12, read on the forward strand.
TCAGGCAGTTTACTGAAGGTAACTTTGGTGGCTGAAAGATTGTCATGGTGGACAAAGTCCTTACCGCTTTAATTTTTCATGATTCTGAAATAATTCTAAAAGCTTTTTCTCTGTGTGAAAAATAAAATTAAAAGAGCTGAGAAAAGACAATGTAGATGAATAGTCGACCCATCTTGGATGTCCATTCAGTAGTACTCTAAAATAAGAAGTTAAAACTCTCTCACATGAGTATCTTTGATCTGTTCTTTTCTAGTGAAAAGAATATGCTTTTTGAAAAGCTAGAAGAGTGGTTCTCAACTTCACATATAATTATTATATAGTCCAAGTATATATTTTTTGAGCAAACCAGGTAAGACTGATATGAAGCCAGGGTAAAGAATTACTGATTATATGAATACAAAACAACTATCTTTTCTTCTCTCCATATTAAATCTTTGCTATTTTTTCAGTAAGTTTAATTACAAACAGCATTTATGGAGCAATGCTGAACAATAGAAATACATTAAAAGACACATGTAATTTCAAATTTTCTGCTAGTCAGGTGAAATATGTAAAGAGAATTAGGTAAAATTAGTTTTACTAAAATATTTAACTTAATATGTCCTAAATATTACAATTTCAAATGTAACTAACACAAAAATTTTAAAATAAAATGGTTACATTTATTTTTCTACCAAATTTTAAAATTTTGACATATTAAACATGTAGTATATATCTCAAATTAGGCAATAAAATTTCTAAAGTGCTGGATCTTTGTTTTATAAAATTTATGATGAAAACATTAAATTCACATAAACAATTTGTTTTAAGCCTACTTACCTTTTATACAAATACTTCATCAAACATTTCATCAGTTTTTATATTGATTATATTTTAAAGTAAAATTACTAGTTTTTAAATTTAAATTTTAAGTTATATTAACCAACTAAATAAAACAAAAACTCAGTACTTCAGTTACACCATCCACAGTTCTTTAGTTTAGTAGCACATGAGGCTAGTGGTTACCACACTAAAGAGTACAGGTTTAGAAAATCAACTATATTTTGATGCATCATGAAAAAAATTTCAAATTCCTGTAAACATTTTTCACTATAAGTAGTATTATTCCTATTTTACACAAAAAGTTGACTCAAAAGACATTTGGAACTAACTCATAGTCATACATTAATATATATACAGTTCAAATTCAAACCCAGCTCTTACTCTGATGCCTGCTCTCTTTCCCTTACAATATTTCTCTTTCTATACACTAGTTGTCTTTACATTACATTATTTCAGTATCCATTACATTACTGTCTTCTTCAGAAAATGTAAAACAGACTTAAGATACTGAATAGAAATCAAACCATTAAAACACGAAGGGACTTGCTGACAGGGGAGGGGTCAATATATATTTTTAAGTACTTAAACTTTATACTTCAGTAAAAAAACAAAAAATAGCAAATATTAATTAAAACTGCTGTTTGTCACATTTGTCTGACAAAGAAATCATACTTGCTTAATTTTTTATGCAATATAATATTTTTAAAACGAAAGAAATTGTCTGTATTGTTACTAAGTTTCTTAGAAAAAAAGAATTTTTACAACTAAAACTTAAGAAGAACTTGCTTATAAATTATGCCAAGCAATGGCCTATAAAACTAATTTTTATTTCTCTGTTTTCCTGACACTTTTGTTTAATCTTAGAATTTGGTTTCTTTTGCTTTCCTAAAGCCTTCTTTTTTAATGATAACCAAGTAGAACAACATTAATAAAGTTTATTTACAGAGTAGATTGTTCAATGCATGTCCTTGGCATTTTGCTAGAGGTTAGCTTTGACTCAGTTGGGATATGAGTGTACTTTATAGTTATATTTTAGGGTTCTGATAAATAAAATATAAGTATTTCATTTACACTTTAGTATGGCTTCTGTTGTCTGCCTGCATTCTCTTTACTCTTTTGCTTTCTTAAAAAATCTTACTTTCTAAATCATCAGAAGGTGTGCTGCCCCAAATCAGAGCTATGTACAGCTGTGAGCTTGAGTCATAGTCTGTAGGTTATCACTGTTTTTGCTGACTGCACCAATTATATCTTCAGAGCAAAGGCAGTTGTACGACTGTGGGAATAAGAACTTACTCCATATTCTCTAATTTTTTAGTCAAGTTGTTTTAAAAAGAAAAGTCATAAAGGGATTAGCCTTTCCCTTCTGTTATTGTCACGACTTAGTGGCTTTGAAATCAGTTTTCAAGATCAAATAGAGACTTGGAGAAAATTTTGTCTCTACCTCAACATAATAACTATGGCGGGGCGTTAATATGCTTTTGGAGGAAAGATTTCATCTTAAAACTGAGATTCTTCTGTTGAGTGACTGGCATTTCACAGGAAAAGTTTTTTGCACAATTTAATACTTTTATATATTTCTCTCAAAGAGCTCTTTTGGTGTGAAAAAATGTAAATGAGGTTTATATTTGTATAGTGCATGTTATGTTCTTGTTGCATTTAAATGTCCTGATATCCTACCCAAAGATTTCAATGTCCTGTTTTAAAACAATTATTTTTCCAGAACATACTTACAAGTGGACCACTTTGTCGTAAAAACTGTGTAGCTTTACGTTATCTTACATTATCTCCTGTCAGAATATACCCTCAACACAAGCTTTGTAGGAGTTTGTCTTCCTGAAAGAGAGTAAAAACCCAGTGGGAATTTCAATTATATTTAATATATTATTTAAAAGTAGATTACTCTCATAGTTTCTGATTTCAAAACAGTAAAAGTTTATACATAGTTTAAAAATAATTATGATGTTTAAGAAATAATATTGATATCCTTATTTTCTCTTTTGAACTATTGTTTTCTCCAATATTTTTGTGCCCATCTCAGGAGCTAAGACAATTCTGCTGAAAAAGCAGTATCATTCATAAGATGGTTAGAGTTCTGGGTTTGAATCTAACTCAACTCATATATTTAGGAGTTTTGTAGTCTTGGGCAAGCTACCTAACTGCTGGATGTCTGGGTGTCCTAAGGACAGTCAGTGATTTTAAGAAACATTAAATGGACATAGATTACGGGAGAACAAATGTATGATAAATGTCCTATCCTGAAGGAAGATTATCAACATCTATTAGGTGGAAAAACTCTGCGAATGCCAATTGAGTATGTGTGCGTGTGTGTTTATTAGGAAGAGGTAATGTAAATTAAATGCTGAAATTGTTGAAGGTAGAAAATAGAGAACAATAAGTTCCTACTGAATTTACCAAATGAATAAAATTAATAATCATTTCTTTTAAATATATTCTAAAATATCTAACATCATCAAATCCAAATGCTATCTAATTTAACTCATAGGATCTTTGACATTTTAGAGCTGAAGGAAATTAATGATATCATTAAAACTACTGCTGCAATTTAAAATCTATTGGTCTTAGTTATTTTTAGGTTTCTATTTATTAAGAAACTGCTACAGATGGGCATAATTTCTTCAGCAGCATCAATTAATTTTGATTAACTAACCAACATGCCATTTTATTTTGCGATTTAAATGCCATATGATTAAAGACAATGATTTATTAACTTACCTAGTTATTCAGTAGCCTTCATTGGAATCTTCAAATAATAACTGGCTAGACGTGTGTAAAATTAAACTGCTGTTTCACTGCAAAATTAATGTAATCTGAATTTACCCTTTTATGCAGAACTTTTCAAAATAGTTTTTTATTTACCTTCCTCTTTGAAAATAAATACATTTGCTTTCTCTTCCTTTATATTCAAAACAATAGGTACATTTAATTTAATTACATTTAATTGAATTACATTTCTTTTGTTTGTTGGTAATTAGAAGTAGTTCACAACATGTTGATATTCAAATCTGAACTGATTCTGTCATAAAAGTTAAATTAAAACATTTGAGTAAAAGTACATTAGTTACATGCAATTTTCCTTTTTAAAAAGATATTATGTAGAAACTTCATTATATAAAGAACCAACTAAACATAAATGTAGAATAAAAGGATCCTACTTTTGCAGCTTTAATAATTCCTCACAAAATCATATGTGATGTGCATTTGCCATGAAAACAGCATGATAAATATAGAGGTAAAAGTAAAAGAAGGTTAACTTTTTTGATATAATTCCATGAGCAATATTTGTCACCCCAACATTTACATGTTACAAAATATGATTATATAATTTATAGTTTACAAAATGCATTTTTAATGCTATCATATTATGTCATAAAAAGCAAATGAAAAAACTCTAGGCGGTGGAACAAACAGCAAGAAAATGGAGCTCACAGCTGTTGACTGAATTGCCATGGGCTAAAAAACAAAGCAAACAAACAAACAAGAACACCACCATCTACCCTGCCAGAGAGTCAATCATTCATAGTGCAGAAGTTTGGGATTGTTTATATAGACAAAGTTTAGGGAAGTTTAATAGAATTTCAACATTGTTCTATGTAAGAGTTTTGTGTTTTGAGGGTTTCAACAGGTTTTAAATTTGATTTATTTTAGCAGGATCATTAGTAATATTTATATAAACTTCCCTTTGGAAAGGTTCTTTTACTTCTAAGACATTTTTTCCTAATGGGATATATTTCATTGAGTAAAAAGAATTAAAAAACAACTACAAGAACATCTATGTTCATAATTCCTGATTAAGAAAGATAAAACCATACATATTTAATATTCTGGTTATTACATCTATTTTATTGATTACATAAATAAATATTGTTAAATAAAATTTAAGACACGTTCTTCTGCGTGACACTACATTTAAGCCAGGCATCCATTTTCACAGCATATATATATTTTTTTATTAAAATCATAAGATGTAAGTAAATGTACATAAAAATAGAGGTTAAAGAGTAAAATAAGACCAAAAATAAGGCTGCCAGGAGAGTGAAATTCTAACTTGAATTGGTTATTGAGCTTATTTTATTTTCAATTAACAATAAACATTATCTTCTACACTCAATTAGCAGCATAATCACCAATACAGAATACTTTACTTGTCTGTTAGTCAATACATACAGGCCCTAGAAGAGAAATGCAAAATTAACATAACCCAGGATTTATTATGTCGTTTGAAATACTGAAATAGACTTACCTTCCTTTCAGGGGGAAGCTTTAAGTCCCTTTTTTAATCATTTTTTAATATAGATGCCACTCTGAGACTCTGGTGAAATATATGGACCTGCTCTCCAGATAAATGCTATCTATGCTGAGCAAACCCTACTTCATTTGCATACAGTTGCAGGGGGTATTTTTGTAATGCCTGAAAATCATTTAAGTCTGTAAGTACTCAATATGAGTGAGTGAAAAGAAGAAAATGCCATATCCATATTCACAACTACAAAATTATAGAAATGTCAAAAATAAGACCCTATGAAATGTTCAAATTGCTTTGTCTGGCTGTTCTTCTCTTGGAATTTTCAAAATACTCAGGGAGTTCTCAGTGTTCTCTAACTTTACTCTCATGAGCCTTGCGGTGTTCTATGGCTCTGGAAGTTGACTCCAAACCTTTTAGTGAATAGAGGTCTTCCCAATACCCATTCCTAGTGAGTCTTGTCTCGGTCAGCAGGAAAGCTTCCAGCCAGTTCATGGAAGAACAGGTATTCTTGCTACTTGCATTAAGTATTGGCTGAAGCAGAGCTTGATTAAAACTTTGTCCCTGCATTGACAATGTAGCTGTATTCTTTCTAAGAGGACAAATTGATACAGAAAAATTCACTCTGGTTCTCTGAATTTAGACAGGCAGGTGGGCATTAACATCTCACTCAAATTAACACAAAATGCACTTTTCACAAACTATGTCAAATGTTACAGTTGTAATTCTTTTAAAAGCCTGTACAATCGAATACTGTTTCTACTTCTGTAAACTACCTCTAGGAAAGCTGAGTGAGATGAAAAACAATGCTTCAGTGAACAATTTATGCATATTCAAGCTGTGGAAATCTATGTATGAATATCAATTATTTTTGCAAATGTTGAAGTGGTATTTTCAAATCAGTTCACCCTTAAGTTCCTAATCTTTTTACCCTTAATGCCATGCATTGATCAAGTATGTAACCCAAGAAATATTTTTCTACCTTCAAAATGAAGGTACAAAAAATTTACACTGTTGCTTACACACATGGATTTAATAAGAAGTAATTTTTAGTAATCAAAAAAGTAAATGTGAAATATGTGAATTGCTGGACTGTATTTCACTTAATCATTGAAGCATAGATTGCATCTAGTAAAAATTTAGAAAAACAAACTTTTTCATGAGAAATTATGCTTTGACAATAGGCTAATTGGAGTTTCTCATCAGTGGACAATCACTAAGACACAGACTGATAGAACGTATTGTGTAACCATCCACAGATGTGCCATTCTTTTTGACAAATGCGTTGAAGAAGGTAATACAAAATATAATATTTACACTATTTCTAATTTCACAGCATTTGTGAAATAATAATGTATTCTAAAATAACTGACAGAAATTTCTACATAAGCAATCTATCAGTTTCCGGCAAGACTTCTATAATCCTGACATGCAAATATGAATAGGAGAGAAATATTAAAAATAAAAGTTGCATATACATTTTGAACAAAATAAACATGCATAACATAATTTTGCAATATTAAGAAGCTAGTTAAAGCTTTTGTTTTTAAAAGCAGTGTTGTCACTAAGGTTTCACTCATTAAGTTTGTTATCTATACAATATTTTCTGTCATTAAGATGAAAAAAGAAAAGATAGATATTGTACACTCACACAAATCTCTGTTCCTTGAATTATCACTAAAATGAAACCAAAGTGAACTAGTTATAAATCCACAAGCATCTAGAGAAACCAAGAACCAATGAGAGAAATAAGCACAATTTTGTGAGGTGGGAACTGAATGAATAGGTGTTAGTTGGGTTAATTAATGACAAAAGCCAAAACCTGTTTATAGAGAAAAATTTAAATAAGAGGCATATTGTTGCACCAAGCAATGACTGGAAAGGTTCACTAATTGGAGTCACCACCAAATATAAAAACAGAACTGGATGAAAAACAGAAAGAGTGATTGAAACCCCACATAAAGTGTGTTAAGTTCCACCTCTTTTCCACTAAACCATTCAGTTTGATCTTATGGCTTCAGGACAGTAGCAGTAGACAGGGAGTTTACTCTGTGGATGAGATCCAAAAAGAAACCAGTCACAAGGCTGTGTGAGTCTTAGGCAAAGGCAGAAAGCTGGGCCATTGAGTGAGCATCTGCTGATGAATGGTGAGGTCACTAGCTATTTTCCATGCTTAGCTTCCAGCTCAGCTTATACTGTCCAGAAAGGAGATTAAAATATTCCTGTCTAGAGAGGTGGATCATCACATGAAAAAATATTTCCTGGTCATTCAGTTTTGAAGATATCAATTGAAATGCTTGGTTCACACCAAATCAATCAACAATAAAACTACTGGAGAGGTCTCACTCATGTTAGAGTTTCCCATAAAATTATCCTAATTTTCTTTTAAATATGTTTGCTAGTTCTATGATTATTTTCCCTAAAGTTAATTTCTTTCCATATCTTGCTCTGTTTGGTTTCATATTTTCATTCTCCAAAACCATCTCTATGTTGCCAAAGTGAGGCACTGCCCCATGACTGCATTATCAGATGAGCCACTGTCTATGCCGCTAACCTCCTGTACTAATTCTCTGTTTTAAATACTTAAAGTATTTCATTTCTTTCTGGTCGAGGTTTGACTAAAACAATATGAAAGGATAGAAAAGATCATCAGAAATGGAAAGAGTTATCTATCATAAAAGTCAGAAACAAAGGAATTTCAGAGGAAACAGGAACAATGAACAAAAAGTTTTAAATGAGCTATAGTTAATATTCTTAGGTAGTTAACAGATATTACATCTATCAAATAAGATTAAAGAGTTCCATACACAAGAAAGTGTTCTTTTCAATTAAAGATATGATTCAATGGGAAATTCATGGAAAGGTTAATAAGATTAAAGTTAAAGAAATTTTGTAAAATGTAGAAAAAAAAGACAAATTCAAAAAAAAAAAGTGAGACAAACTGGCAACATTATATGATCAAATTGGAGGCTAGACGTATGACTAGGAGGAGTCCCAGAAAGAAAGAAAATAGAAATTAAGGGAAGAAAACAATTCAAAAACATTACACAAGTAAATCTCTACAAATATTACTGCAGAAGTGTTCAGTTTTAAGGATCCACATGTTAATAAAGTAAATGAAAAAAGTACACACCAAAATGAATTTCCCTAAACATTTGGAAAACCATAAATAGATGATTCTAAAAGTTTTCAAATAGCCAAAACAGTCCTATACATAGAATTAAGAGTCACAATATCATTAGGAATTTGCAAGAGCAATAGTGGAAGCCAAAAGACAAAACGGGGCAAAGCCTTTGAATTTCCGAGAAAACGGGAGTGTCAACTGAAAATTCTATTTTCAGGAAAGTTACTTAGGAAATGTGGAGATTCTAAAAGACTTTTCTGAAACATACGATGTCTCAAAATGTTATTTTCCAGGTATCCACAGAAAGCTACTAGAGGATAGATGTTCTACAAAATAAAAAAGTAAATGTAGAAAAAGGAAAGGACCAGGTGAAAAAGAACAAAGGAACAGTAAGATTATATGAGAGGAAATTCCAGGTTATTGTTATAGAATAAAGTCCCAAGATGACAGTTGAAGAGCAAGCAACGTGGTCAGTCAGTTTCACAGTCTGGCCTGAAAACAGGAGGACTTGGAGGCAGATGTCTTCATGAAGGTTAGAAAAAGAAACTAAATGTATTACTGGAGTACAAACATGTTTGAAATTTTTAACATGTACATATAACTCTGTGAAAGTGGGAGGATAATAAGTGTGTGTTCATGGAAACCTAACCAATTAAATCAAATTTTAGACAGAAAGAAAAAAAAGTAATTCTTGATTTTGGTCCTGCACCAGGAGTGGAGTATTAAGTTTTATACTTAGGTTTTATATTTAGATTTTGAAAAATTACCTTAATGACTTTGTACTTTTAGTTATTGCTACTTTATTACCATAGTAAATAATATATACCAGAGGAATATATACTATAAAATATAGATGGAATACTAAATATAATATCTATATATTTCTACCTGTAGTATTTATATCATAATCTATACTATGAATATTTGTATATAACATAAACAAAAAGCAAACTATATAAGATTTATATTGTTTTATAATAATAGCTCTTTGCCTCAGCAAATAGCTCATTTGTTGATTTTATACAAGAGCATTGAGGCTTTTTTTTTCCAAGAGATAACATGACTTAGATTAAATATTTTACTTGAATAAATAATCTTTGATGCCGTTTTCAATACCTAAATTCTAGGACTCCATGAATAATTCAAAACAGAAACATAAAATATAGCTATTACTGATAAAAAATTTATTTCATTTTAAAGCTATATTGCCTTAATGGGTTTTCCCCATAATTCGAAATTAAAGAAATATTTCCAGTCAAACATAAGATTCATTTTCATAAGGGAAAAAGTTTTTTAATAGCAAGCTAAAATGGATAGCTATGATAGCAACCATGTATGCATATTTAGATGCAATAATTAGATTTATGCTTATAGTCTCTAAAAATGACTGTAGGCAATTATCATCAACTGTAGTGAATTCAGAAGGCTTCTACTGAGGGAATAGCATCCTTTAAAGACCATAAACTGTAAAGAACATGTATTTTCAGAGTCATAATACTTTTTTCTATTCTAGTTGAAAAAAGTTTGACTATTTTATTTCTTCCCTATATTAGTTATGTTGTTATTCTCACACATATTCTTTTGTATTACTTAGATTTTCTGTTATGATTTACTGTACTTATTGTTTTATGACAGGCTATTATGTTGGGAAGAAATTTTCATAGTTAAAACTCTACCACAATACTTTGACATGAACATAGATTAAGGCTTATTTGTTTTCCTGATAAGCTTTTTTTAACAAAATATTTTTAATTATTATGATTACCTAACAATTATATATGTTTATTGGGTACATGTGATGTTTTGATACATGCATACAATATGTAATGATCAAATCTGCATTACTGGGATATACATGAACTAAAGTATTTTTTATTTCTTTGTGTTAGGAATATCCCAATTGCATTTTTGAGACATTTTAAAATATACAGTAAATTTTTGTCAACTATAATCACCCTATTGTGGTATCAAGTACTAGTTCTTATTCATTCTAACTGACTGATTTTTAATGCTAATCTTTTTAACCTAAAATTCAGATTATTTTCTCATATTCATAGTCTCATGTGATCATAGTCTCCTGGTGTTTCTCACCCCAAGATTTACATAATATTAATACATTGTTTTTGCATATCATCGGGTAGTTTCAGCATACCTTTCAGTACACAGGGGAAGATTTAAAATGTCATTTCTCCAGTAAACATAGATAAAATAATAACCATATGTAGTCAATATCTTTAATATCAATTGTGAGAGTGCTTTATCAGATTTGGTGCTTAATACCAAACATTGAGAGGTATCTACTAGCAGAGATTTGTTTTATTTTCAATTTTTACAAGGTGAAGTTTAAGGCCCAATATTCTTTATAATGTGCTATGTGATTATCTGTCTCAAAATAATTTTAACATAAAACTATCCAGGGGTAGAATCCCTGTTTTAATGTATCACCTTATCTATCAAAAGATATTTTCATATCCAAATATCCAGATAATGCCTTTGTTTCTTCATATTCCAGCTAATTTTTTAAATGCCCACATGGAAATTAGGATATCCATTTCAAAGGTACATTTCAAAATTCCCTTATTCCATCTTCTTTAAAAAATATGTTTATATAAGGTAACAATTCCAACAGTGTGCCATTGGGTTTATAGCCCAAATAGACATAATATGTATAATAGTAATAGCACAAGAAAGTACAGGTGGTGGAACAATACAAAAATAAAGTTTATGTATTTCACTAAAACCAAGTTTGTTTTTAACTGAAGTAGATTCTGATTAGTTAAGATGTGTAATGTAAGCCAAAGAACATCAAGTAAGAAAATAACACAAAGATAGAATTTAAAAATTATACACAATAATAAAGGAATCCATTCTCTTAAGAACTCATATCAATTCTTAATTTATATGCACCTAACAACAGATCCTTAAAACCGATAGAACTTGAGACACTAAAAGAACATCAGGGAGAAATGCTAAATTTGATATTATAGTTGGAGTCTTCAACACCCTTCTGTTAGTAATTGATAAATCTAGTAGGAAGAAAATCAGTAAAAATATATTTCAACTGAACAGTGCTATCAATCAACTGAACATAATAGACAACTATAGACTCCTTCATCTAACAGCAGTAGAATAGACAATTTTCTGAAGCTCACAGAGAACGTTCACTAAGATAGACCAGATTTGAGCCATAAAACACACCTTAATAAGTTTAAAATATAATAAATTTTACAAAGTATGTTCTCAGCCCACAATGGAATGAAACTAGAAATCCATAACTGAAATACTGGAACACCCAAAACACTTACAGATTAAACAACATACTTCTAAATAAAATATGGGTCAAAGGAGAAGTCTCAAAAGAAATTAAAAATATATATTGAACTAAGTAAAAATAAAAATGTTACTCATCAAAATTTGTGGGATGCAACAAAAATTGTGTTTACAGGGAAATTTATATCACTAAATGCATATTATTATAAAGTAAGAAAGATCTAAAATCTTTCTTCCATTTAGAAATCTAGAAAAAGAAAAGCAAGTTAAATGCACTGTAAACAGAAGAAAATAAATAATAACAATTAGAAAAAATCAATAATATTGAAAATAGGAAACAAGTAGAGAAGAGCACCAAAATGAAAAGTACTTAGAAAAGATCAATACACTAAGAACCCTCCAGGAAGGTTATCTAAGAGAAAAAGAGAAAAGACCCAAATTATTCATGCCAGAAAAGAGAGAGAGACCATCAAAGTAGATCCCATGGACATTAAAATGACAAAATACTAGCAAACTGAATTCAGCAGCTCATTAAAAAGATCATTCACCGTGATCAAGTGGAATTCATCTGAGGGATGCAAGGATGGTTCAAATATGTAAATACATAAATGTGATACACTACATTAACAGAATGAAGAACAGAAACCACGTAATTATCTTGACAAATACAGAAAAAGCATTTGACAAAATTTAAGACCCTTTTGTGATAAAAATTATCAACCCATTAGATATAGAAGGAATGTACCTCAGTACAAGAAAGGTCAAATATGACAAACCCACAGCTAATATCATACTGAACAGCGAAAAGTTGAAAAACTTCTTCTCTAAGATCTGGAACAAGACAATGATGCCCACCTTTGTCATTTCTACTCAACATAATACTGGACGGTCTAGATAGAGCAATTAGGCAAGAGAGAGAAATAAAGCAATATACATTTAAAAGGAAGAAATTAACTTGTCCTTCTTTGCAGATGACATGATCTTTTGTAGAGAAAACCCTAAAGACCACCCTAGAAATTGTTAGAACCAGTATACAGTAAAGCTTAGAATACAAAACTGACCTACAAAAATTAGTAACATATATACGAATAAAGGACCATTTGAAAAATGAACCAAGGAAACAATTCTGTTTATAATAGCTACAAAATACTTAGAAATAACCTTTTTTATTTTTAATTTTGTGGATATATAATAGTTATACATATTTATGTGGTAAATGTGATATTTTGATAAAAGCATACAATTTGTAATGATCAAATTAGGGCAATTGGGTTATCCATCACTTCAAACATTTATTATTTCTTCATGTTAGAAATACCTGTTATGATAACTATAGTTAATAGTTAATAAGATCTACCTATTGTAGTAGATCTTCTTCCTTCTTTCTAACTGTATTTTTCCACCCATTAACCAACCCATCTTTATTCCTTTACCTGCATCATTTTTCCCAGCCTCTGGTAGTCATTATTCTATGCTTTATCTTCATGAGATCGTTTTTTTAGCTCCCATATGTGAGTGAGAATATATGATGTGTCTTTCTGTGCCTGCTTTATTTTACTTAAAATAATGTCCTCTAGTTTCGTCCACGTTGTTGCAAATGACAGGATTTTATTTTTTTTATGGTTGAATAGTATTACGTTGTGTGTGTATATATATATATATGTATACACACACACATACACACACACACACACACATATATATATATATATATATATAATTTTCTTTATCCTTTCATCCTCTGATAGACACATATGTTGATTCCATATCTTGGCTATTGTGACTACTTCTGCAATAAACATAGGAGGGCAAATATCTCTTCAACATACTGGTTTTCTTTCTTTTGAATATATACCCAGCAGTGTCATTGGTGGGTCATATGATAGATCTACTTTTAGTTTTTGGGGGAAATCTCCACTGTCATTCCTTAGTAGCTCTACTAATTTACATTCCCACCAACAGTATAAAAGTGTTCTCCTTTCTCTTCATCCTCACCAGTATCTTTTTTTTTTTTTTAGTTTTTTGATAAAAAACATTTTAACTGAGGTGAAATTATATCTCATTGTTTTGATTTGCATATCTTATGCTTAGTGATGTTGAGCATTTTTTCATGTACCACTTGGCCATTTTTATGTCCTCTTATGAGAAATGGCCATTCAATTATTTTATCCATTTTTTTCTTAAGCACTTGGGTTTTTTGTTATTGAGTTGTTTGAGTTCCTTATATATTATGATTATTAATTTTTCAGTTGAATTATTTGCAAATATTTTCTTTTATTCTGTGGATTGTCCCTTCACTTTAATTATTTCCTTTGCTGTACAGAAGGCTTTTAGCTTGATGTGATCACATTTGCCAATAATTTCTTTCTTTCCCTGTGTTTTTAAGGTCTTACTCAAGAAATCTTTGCCCAGACCAATATCCTGGAGCATTCCCCAGCATTTTCTTCTACTAGTTTCATAGTTTCAGGTTCTACATTTAAGTATTTAAACCATTTCGATTTGATTTTTGTGTATTATGAGGGACAGGAGTCTGATTTTATTCTTCTACATACAGTTAGCCAGTTTTCGCAGCATCACTTATTTAAAAAACTGTCAAAAAAAGGCCAGGACTAGATGGATTCACAGCCGAATTCTGCCTGAGGTACAAGTAGGAGCTGGTACCATTCCTTCTGAAACTATTCCAATCAATAGAAAAAGAGGGAATCCTCCCTAACTCATTTTATGAGGCCAGCATCATCCTCATACTAAAGCCTGGCAGAGATACAATAAAAACAGAGAATTTTAGACCAATATCCCTGATGAACATCGATGCAAAAATCCTCAATAAAATACTGGCAAACAGAATCCAGCAGCACATCAAAAAGCTTATCCACCACGAACAAATGGGCTTCATCCCTGGGATGCAAGGCTACTTCAACATACGCAAATCAATAAATGTAATCCAGCATATAAACATAACCAATGACAAAAACCATATGATTATCCCAATAGATGCAGAAAAGGCCTTTGACAAAATTCAACAACACTTCATGCTAAAAACTCTCAATAAATTAGGTATTGATGGGACATATCTCAAAATAATAAGAGCTATCTATGACAAACCCACAGCCAATATCATACTGAATGGGCAAAAACTGGAAGCTTTCCCTTTGAAAACTGGCACAAGACAGGGATGCCCTCTCTCACCACTCCTATTCAACATAGTGTTGGAAGTTCTAGCCAGGGCAATCAAGTGGGAGAAAGAAATAAAGGGTATTTAATTAGGAAAAGAGGAAGTCAAATTGTCCCTGTTTGCAGGTGACATGATTGTATATCTAGAAAACCCCATCATCTCAGCCCAAAATCTCCTTAAGCTGATAGGCAATTTCAGCAAGGTCTCAGGATACAAAATCAATGTACAAAAAACACAAGCATTCTTATACACCAATAACAGACAAACAGAGGGCCAAATCATGAGTGAACTCCCATTCACAATTGTTTCAAAGAGAATAAAATACCTAGGAATCCAACTTAAAAGGGATGTGAAGGACCTCCTCAAGGAGAACTACAAACCACTGCTCAAGGAAATAAAAGAGGATACTAACAAATGGAAGAACATTCCATGGTCATGGATAGAAAGAATCAATATCGTGAACATGGCCATACAGCCCAAGGTAATTTATAGATTCAATGCCATCCCCATCAAGCTATCAATGACTTTCTTCACAGAATTGGAAAAAACTACTTTAAAGTTCATATGGAACCAAAAAAGAGCCCACATTGCCAAGTCAATCCTAAGCCAAAAGAACAAAGCTGGAGGCATCACGTTACATGACTTCAAACTATACTACAAGGCTACAGTAACCAAAACAGCATGGTACTGTTACCAAAACAGAGATATAGACCAATGGAGCAGAACAGAGCCCTCAGAAATAATGCCACATATCTACAACCATCTGATTTTTGACAAACCTGACAAAAACAAGCAATGGGGAAAGGATTCCCTATTTAATAAATGGTTCTGGGAAAACTGGCTAGCCATATGTAGAAAGCTGAAACTGGATCCTTTCCTTACACATTATACAAAAATTAATTCAAGGTGGATTAAAGACTTAAATGTTACACCTAAAACCATAAAAACCCTAGAAGAAAACCTAGGCAATGCCATTCAGGACACAGGCATGGCAAAGACTTCATGTCTAAAACTCCAAAAGCAATGGCAACAAAAGCCAAAATTGACAAATGGGATCTAATTAAACTAAAGAACTTCTGCATAGCAAAAGAAACTACCATCACAGTGAACAGGCAACCTACAGAATGGGAGAAAATTTTTGCAATCCAGTCATCTGACAAAGGGCTAATATCCAGAATCTACGATGAACTCAAACAAATTTACAAGAAAAAAACAAACAACCCCTTCAAAAAGTAGGCAAAGGATATGAACAGACACTTCTCAAAAGAAGACATTTATGCAGCCAACAGACACATGAAGAAATGCTCATCATCACTGGCCATCAGAGAAATGCAAATCAAAACCACAGTGAGATACCATCTCACACCTATTAGAATGGCGATCATTATGTCAGGAAACAACAGGTGCTGGAGAGAATGTGGAGAAATAGGAACACTTTTACACTGTTGGTGGGACTGTAAACTAGTTCAACCATTGTGGAAGTCAGTGTGGTGATTCCTCAGGGATCTAGAACTAGAAATACCATTTTACCCAGCCATCCCATTACTGGGTATATACCCAAAGCATTATAAATCATGCTGTTATAAAGGCACATGCACACATATGTTTATTGTGGCACTATTCACAATAGCAAAGACTTGGAACCAAGCCAAATGTCCAACAATTATAGACTGGATTAAGAAAATGTGGCACATACACACCATGGAATACTATGCAGCCATAAAAAATGATGAGTTCATGTCCTTTGTAAGGACATGGATGAAGCTGGAAATCGTCATTCTCAGCAAACTATCACAAGGACAAAAAACCAAACAGCGCACGTTCTGGTTCGTAGGTGAGAATTGAACAATGAGAACACATGGACACAGGAAGGGGAACATCACACACGAGGGCCTGTTGTGGGGTGGCGGGATGGAGGAGGGATAGCATTAGGAGATATACCTAATGTTAAATGACGAGTTAATGGGTGCAGCACACCAACATGGCACATGTATACATATGTAACTAACCTGCACATTGTGCACATGTACCCTAAAACTTAAAGTATAATAATTAAAAAAAAACTGTCTTTTCTCTAAATAAAAAAAATCCTAAAATTCACATGAAACAACAGAAACCTTGAATAGCCAAAGTAATTTTGAGCAAAAAGAACAACACTGGAGGTATATTACCTGATTTTAAAATGTACTACAAATCTATAGTAACCAACACTGCATGATGATGGATGAAAAATAGACACATAGACCAATGGAACAAAATAGATAACCCAGACCTAAAGCAATAAGACTACTAGAAGAAAATGTGGGGAAAAAATGCTTTCTGATATTGGTCTGGACAAGAATTTTTTGAATAAGACTCCAAAAGCACAAGCAGCAAAAGGAAAAATGGATGAATGGGATGATATCAAAATAAAAATCTTCTGCTTGAAAAATTAAAAAATCAACACAGTGAAAAGACATCCTACAGAATGAGAGAAAATATTTGCAAACTATGTATCTGAAAAAGGTTTAATATTCAACATATATAAAGAACTCAATAGCAAACAATAATTATTATTATGATAATTTATTTTTAAAAGTGGACAAAAGACTGACTAGACATTTCTTCAAAGAAAACATACAAATGACTAATAAATATTTGAAAAAAGTGTTTAATGTCAGCAATCATCAGGAAAATGCAAATCAAAACCACAATGAGACACCACCACCCAATTATTAAATTGGGTATATTGAAAAGCAAAATGAAACAAATGCTGACATAAACGTGGAAAAAAGAATGTCTGAACACCACAGATGGGAATCTAAATTAGTAAAACTACTAAGGAAAATAATATGAAAATTCCTCAAAAAACCAAAACTAGATCTGCCATAGTATCCAGCAATCCTATTTCTGAGTATATATTATAAAGAAAGGAAGTTAATGTGTTGAAGTGATACCTGCACCCCATGTTTATTGAAGCACTATTCACAATAGCCAAAATTTGAAATCAACCTAAGTGTCCATCAGTGGATCAATGGATAAACAAAATGTATAGATGCACAATGGAATATAATTCATCCATTAAAAAATGAAATGCTGTCATTTGAGACACGGTTGAACATGAAGAAAATTATGTTAAGTTAAACCAGGCACAAAAAAGACAAATATTTCATGACCTTATCGATATGTGGGAGCTAAAAATTTTGTTCTCATAAAAGTAGAGAATAGAATAGTGATTCCAGAGGCTAGGGAGAGAGGAGAAAGAAAGAAACCGTCAGGCAGGCAGTTAGAGTGGGTCCTCAGTAAAACTCCTTTAAACTAGGAACAGCCTGAAAATAAAACTGCAGGCCCCATAAGATAAGAAAGAGTCTGCATTCTTGGATGGAAATGCCTACTCTTTGAACCCAGATGAACAAATTCCACTCCTGTTTTGGACACATTTCCCTCTCCTTGGCTTACCCCTCTGTCTCGTTTCACACACTTCCTCCCAACTGGTCCTTATCTTTCACTTATTTTACATATACCTATATTTCTGTGTTTGGTCATGGGCCGAACATTAGTTTGCATAAAGTGTAACATTCCTCCAGCCCCTGATTGGTTGTAGGCTGAGCCTTTACCTCTGCCTTCAATTGGTTCTTTCCACTAACATGTCTCTTTCTGATTGGTGCTTCCTCCAAGTTGGCCCGCAGACCAATCAGTGCATTCCTCCTCCTTCCAAGTGTATAAAAACCCTGAACTTAGCCTCACAGCCAGAAACCCTATCTCAGATCCCTTCTCCTTGGTGAGAGCTTCTCTGCTGCTTAATAAATCCAACTCTGCATTACTCACTCTCTGGTGTGCATGTGGCTTATTATTCTTGGTTGTGGGACAAGAACCTGGAGCTTGCCAGTGGTGGGAGTAAACGAGCTGTAACACTTTCTCTCACTAGCTGAAAACCTAGAGTGAAAAAGCTGTGATGGGGAGAAAAAACTATGGAAAAAACTATGATGGGGAGAGGGCTGGTGGGAAAGGAAGAGATTGGTCAATGGTTACAAAGATACAGTTAAATTGGAGAAATAATTATGGTATTATATTTAACAGCAGGGTGAATACGGTTAACAATATTTCATATTTCCAAATAGCTAGAAGATAGGATTTTGAATATTCTCACTACAAGAAAATTATAAATATTTGAATTGATCTCAAATATTTCTAGAGATCTCTAGAGATTTGTGGAACTTTGAATTTGAGAGAGATGATTTAGGGTATCTGGTAGAATAAAATCCTAAACAGCAAAGCTCTTAAGAGTTGACAGAGCATTAAAGTTAGGAAAATTTGCAGGCTGACAATGTGATAGAAAAGAAAAACCCATTTTCTGGGGAAAAATTCAAGCGTGCTGATGAAATTTGTGTAACAAGGAGCCAAATGTTAATCATCCAGACAATGGGGAAAAATGTCTCCGGGGCATGTCAGAAGCCTTCATGGCAGTTCTCCCATCACAGGCCTAGAGGCCTAAGGCCCCAGGCCTTCTTGCTTTGTGCAGTCTTGGGAATTGGTGCCCTGCTTTCTAGCAGTGGTTAAAAGGAGCCAATGTGCAGGTCAGGCCATTCATTGCTTCAGAGAGTGCAATCCCCATGCCTTGGTAGCTTACACGTGGTGTTGGCCTGTGGATATGCTGGAGTCAAGAATTGAGGTTTGGGAACCTCTGCCTAGATTTCAGAGGATGTATGGAAATGCCTGGATATACAGGCAGAAGTTTGTTGCAGGGGTGGAGCCCTCATAGAGGCAGTGAGGAAGGGAAATGTGGGGTCAGAGCCCCCACATAGAGTCCTCCATGGGGCACTGCCTAGTGGAGCTGTGAGAAGAAGGCGACCATCCCTCCAGACTCCAGAATGGTAAATCCACTGACAGATTGCACCATGCACCTGAAAAAGCCGGAGACACTCAATGCCAGCCTGTGAAAGCAACCAGGAGAGGAGCTGTACCCTGTAAAGCCACAGGAGTGGAACTGCCTAAGGCCTTGGGAGCCCACCTCTTGCATTCACATGACCTGGATGTGAGACATGGAGCCAAAATGATGATTTCAGAACTTTAAGATTTGACTGCTTTATTGGATTTTGGATCTGGATGAGACCTGTAGCCCCTTTGTTTTGGCCAATTTCTCCCATTTGGAATGAGTGTATTTACCCAATGCCTCTATTTACCATTCCTCTATTGTATATAGGAAGTAACTAACTTAATATTGATTTTATGGGCTCATAGGTGGAAGGAACTTGCCTTGTCTCAGATGGGACTTTGGACTTGGACTTCTGAGTTAATGCTGAAATGAGTTAAGATTTTGAAGGACTGCTAGAAGACCATAATTGTGTTTTGAAATGTGAGGTCATGAGATTTGTGAGGGGACTGGGCAGAATGATATGGTTTGTCTCTGTTTCCCCCACCCAAATCTCACTTTGAATTTTAATACCCATAGTCCCCACATGTCAAGGGTGGGATCACGTGGAGGTAATTGGATCATGGGGGTGGTTTACCCCATGCTATTCTCCTGATAATGAGTGAGTCTCACGAGATCTGATGGTTTCATAAGCATCTGGCATTTCCTCTGCTTGCACTCACTCTGTTCTGCTGCCCTGTGAAGAAAGTGTCTGCTTCTCCTTTGCCTTTTGCCCCAATTATAAGTTTTCAGAGGCCTCCCCAGCAATGTGGAACTGTGAGTCTATTACACCTCTTTCATTTATAAATTACTCAGTCTCAGGTATTTCTTTATAGAAGTGTGAGAATGGACTAATACAGCTACTGTTGCCCTAATATCAAAAACAGATTAAAAAAAAAGAAAAACCATAGACCAATATTTCTCTTGAACATAAATTAAAAGACCCTTAGCAATATATTGGCAAATTTACTCTAATTTCCAATAAATTACTAAAAAATATATACCACAAGCAAATACGATAGCTATGCAAAGTTCTATATTCAAAAATCAATTACTGTACTTCATACCAATAAGCTGTAAGAAGAAAAATCAGGTGATCATATCATTACATGAACTTAGAATACACAATGTAAGTGAAAGAATCTAGTCACAAAATACTGCATATTGTATAATTCCATTTTTATTACATGCTCAGAATAAGCAAATACGGAGAGACAGCAAAAAAGTTACTGGATTTTTGTGCCTGGAGGAGAGGGTAGAAAGCAGTTACTGTTTATGTGTATGAAATTTCCTTTAGAGAAACTAAAAAATTAGATTGTGGTAATGTTTGCACACTTTGTAAATGCACTTAAAATTGATTTTATACTTTAAATCAGACAATTTTGAGGTCTATGAATTTTATTTTAATCAAGCATTTTAGAAAAGTTATTACCAGGGGGCTGTTTGTTTTATCCATTTTTGGATGGACCTGTTATTGACTTTATTTTATAATTTTATATCTCCTGTTCTTTAACAAATTATTTTCAATATATTTTATTAAAACTCTCCTTCCACATGTTTTTCTTATTTTGCTATTATTTTTCTACTTTCTAAAATGTAATAACTATATATACTTGAGCCCAGGAGTTTGAGAACAGCCTGGGCAACCAGGCGAGACCTCTCTCTCTACAAAATTTACACAAAAATTAGTCAGGCATGGTGATGTGTGCCTGTGGTCCCAGGTATTTGGGAGACTAAGGTAGGAGGATCTCTTGAGGTGAGGAATTGCTTGAAGCTGCAGTGAGTCACGATCACGCTATTGCTCTCCAGCCTGGGCAACAGAGCAAGAGACCATCTCAAAAAAATAAATGAGAGAGAGAGAGAGAGAGAGAGAGAGAAGACTGTACATTTTCCTTTGAGTGGGATTTTATTATTTCATAATATTTAATCTAAATGTTTTTTCATTGTTTCTCTGAATAATTTTAATAATGCTATTTTACTTTTTTAATTTAATTTTCCGCTGAATAGTAATTAACAATTTTCAGCTATACACTAAAAATATTAACTACACTGCACATTTTTCCTATCCAATAAGTTACTTTTTGTGATTAAGTACATAAGAAATGTTTATAAATAATCCATAAAATTTCATTGTATTGGCTGGGCACGGTGGCTCATTTCTGTAATCCCAGCATATTGGGAGGCCGAGGTGGGCGGATCACGAGGTCAGGAGATCGAGACCATCCTGGCTAACACGGTGAAACCCCATCTCTACTAAAAAAAAATACAAAAAATTAGCCGGGCATGGTGGCAGGTGCCTGTAGTCCCAGCTACTCGGGAAGCTGAGGCAGGAGAATGGCGTGAACCCAGGAGGCGGAGCTTGCAGTGAGCTGAGGTTACGCCACTGCAGTCCAGCCTGGGCGACAGAGCGAGACTCGGTCTCAAAAAACAAAACAAAACAAAACAAAAATTGCATTGTATTATGAAATCACATTTTTAAAAATTTTAAAACAACATTTTCTGGCCAATTTAAAAAAAACACATAAACTCATCTGAGATTAATTCTGTCATGGAAAGAACTGTCTAACAATAAAAGTATAGATATGAGAATATAGATATGAGAAGATAATCTGCTAATGACTTACGAAGTAGTCACTGTAGTTTCCCTGAGTTGAGAAAAAAAAAAAAATCTCCTTTTGCTGTAAATGACAGATCTGCACCTTTTTCCTAATATGTGAAAACTTCGGAGAAAAGTGCTATCTAGCCCTAAGGTGTTTGCTCCAGGAGTAGAGCCATCAACTCAGATCTAAAATTGAATTTGAGAAGAGTGTTATGTTCATCAATCATTAGACTTCAGATGTCTAACAGTAATTCTTCTCCTGGGTTCCAGGTGAACATCTCTCTACTTTAAAGCAGAGATTCATTGTGAGTATAAAGTCAAACAGATTTTAATGCAAGCACACAGAAAAATGGCTAGCACTTGCAATTATTTTTATACCAGTTTTAATGAGAAAAGCAAAGTAAGCAAATTTCATCAAGTTTTATGTCTCTCAAAGAGATCCTGTTTGAGAGATTTTCAAAGTTTTATTGACTAAGTTTTATATTAAGTGTCAATCAAGTAAATTTTATGCTTATTTATTGTTTACATTTTGATTTTTATATACTTACTATCCAATATTTTCTGTTAATAAAACTCCTTATATAAAGTTGTGGGGAAAGTTCTTACTCAATTTTTTATAAGATTCTAACTTCCCGGAAAAAGGAAGTAACAAGTTTGTACATTGTATTAAATAGTTTTGTTAGAATAGTCATAAGTCTTGCATGGGTAATTGTAAAGTGTGAGAATGCTTTCTTAAAATCATAGCTAGCAGTATTTAAACAAAATAACATAACTAAACTTAACTAAGGCAAGATGTACTTATTTTTTGTGTGACAGAAAGAAGAGTTACAGGAAAATACTTAATGTTTGCTAATGTTTTTCTGAACATTTAGGTGTCAAAATAAAGAACAGCAAAGCACACATGTTACAGTAAATTTTTGCAAAGAACCAACCAGACAAATTCAAATTTTGTGAGTGTATGATTTCTCCATTCTAGGAACTTTGAGGGCCATTTATGCTATTGTTTACCTTATTTAATATGCTGTCTTAACCAAAGTCTATTCTATGTATATTTTATAATATTGCAACAATGCTTAAAATCAGAAAATGAATGGGGCCAACTCTAAAACTTGAAATTAAAAAAATATTAGAGACGTCCAGAAGCTGAAATCAGACATGTGAGAAGAATAAAATAAAATACTTACATGGGTTCAATTTCTTAGGGAAAATTATGGCATGTCTTAAGAGCAGATAGCAGAAAACACAAAATGTGAAAATAATAGGTAGTTACATTCAATTAAAAAACAGTTCAAAAATACTACTTGGTTGAGTGTTAACATTAAAAAACCCTTACACATTACTTGTTTTTTTTTTTTTGTTTTTTTTTTTTTTTTTTTTTTTTTTTTTTTGATACAGAGTCTCTGTCGCCCAGGCTGGAGTGCAGTGGCGCGATCTCGGCTCACTGCAAGCTCCGCCTCCCGGGTTCATGCCATTCTCCTGCCTCAGCCTCTCTGAGTAGCTGGGACTACAGGCGCCCACCACCACGGCCGGCTAATTTTTTGTATTTTTAGTAGAGACGGGGTTTCACGGTGGTCTCGATCTCCTGACCTCGTTATCCGCCTGCCTCGGCCTCCCAAAGTGCTGGGATTACAAGCGTGAGCCACCGCGCCCGGCCTACTTGTTCTAAAGATGAGAAACTTGAAATTCCATCATATTGGTTGACTGATAAGCAGCATGTAAATGGTAGTGACAGTCTTCGCTTTAGAATTTAGGGGCCAGTTCCCAATTTAGTGCACTTTCTACATCCACTCATCATGCTCTGCATTACGGGAGTTTGTTAGAGATACTACTTTAAAGCATCAGTTAGTTAAGAAGAGTATTTCTCATTTTCTTAAAGTAGAAATTTTCAAGGAACACTGAGTTATTTTCTTGGCCAGTAGTAAGAAAATATTTACATATATTTTTTTTTATTTCAAATGCCAGAAAACCTCTGGCATTTGAAATAAAACGTACTCAAATATATTATGTTCAGATGAAAAGCTGATTAAAATCTTATAAATATGTGTGGATGGCTTTCACATACAAAATAGTGTGGAAGGTGCATCTAATTATTCATTACAATAACAGGCAACAGAAAATGAGTAGGCATATTGCTTTTTGTGTTGTATACAAAGGCGTACCAGACTTAGGGTATCATTCACACATCAAACACCAATTATCTATCAGTTACCTTTTAGAGGAAAATATTAGTCTATTGACAGGCAGAGGGGGAAAAAGAAATAAAAACAAGCGATATAGGAAATTGAAAACCCTCATTGATTCATATAAAGTCAACTAAAAGTGATCCGTAAGCCAAACTCTTATTATCAAATGTTTTAATTATAAGGTTAAAATATGTTATAGCAATCAGAAAGCAAAAATAAAAATAAAATTTCAATGATCAAAAAAACAAAAATCATTCCTGCCTTAAGACTCCTATAAATAACATAACACAATGTGCATTACCAATAAATATTTTGAGGCTCAATGTCTAACTCCAAGATTTTTTATGTACAAATAAAATTTTGTTTAACAATACAGACAATTGAAAGGCATTTAATATAGGAGAGCATAGAAAACAAAATATGTATTTGCTTTTCTGTAGAGAATTGCTCCCGCAACTTTAGGTTGATATTGCTATGAAAACTAAGAAATTTCAAGAACTGAATCAAAATTAGTAACTCAAGAAACAAGAAGTTGGAAATACAAGTATAAACTATTGAAAACAGAATTACTACTCTATTATTTCATAAGGCAATACATGTGAAAATAAAATATAATTTTGAAAAATGTGATTTACAAAATAAGAACCATGGGAAAAAAGGTTATGTATCTTGTTATGATCATATATGATCATTATAGAAGCTGTAATAGTCTTCAATTAAAATCATTTTTCCAAGAAAACTTATATAAATTTTAAAAAAGTAAAATTGTGAATAGTCATGCTGGTATCTTTTACACCATTCATGCAAAAATCTAGAAGTAAAAGTGAGGTTATGGTATTTCTTTATAGTAGAATTATAAATAAAGATTATATTCTTTTTTGTACTGTTTATGTTTTCAAATCTCCTTAACAGGCATTTTATTTACAATAAAACATCCAGCAAATGTAACTAAAAACATAAAAACAATAAAATGTTGACTTGAATTAGGCTCTTGAATATATTAAATGAAAGATTGAAATCTGTGCATTTTATTATATACTGTACAAAAAACAATTATGCATTCTTGAAAAGGAGGATTACTTGATCATGGATTTGATTTAAAAAGAAAAATCTGTCTGCAGCATAAGAAAATATAGCTTTGAATAACAGAAAATATTCAGAGGATGTCAAAAACCCAGATAAAAGTGATGGAAGGCTTGGAGTGTGGTCATAGGGATAGAAATAGAAATAAGAGGTTGAGATTGAAAGAAGGTGAAGAAGTAGAATTGTCAGAAATTGGCAGTCAATTATATAAGGGTTAGGGGGTGAGTGAGAGGTCAAACATGACTTTAAGGTTTTGATTCTCATGAAAGAAAGAATGGCAATGTTATTAACAAAGATTAGGAATAGGAGAGAAAAAGACAAGAAGATCAAAGATGGAGAGATGAAATACTTAAAATGTAACAATATAATCTGTCACTGAATCTATCTTACTATTGAGTAAAATGAAAGCTGAACACTGTTAATACAGATTAAATGAAATTTTTAAAACTTGCTTTGACAGTTTGGGGGAAGAGTAGAAATAATTACTGAGGTCTGTGACAAGTCCTAGAAATTAAAATATCTAAGAACATGTTTCTGTAAACCATATGAACTATCATGTCTTCTACTGTATATCACATTTTAAAAAATATATATTATTTCTTACTGGGGAAAAATGGTTGTGTATGTTAAGCAGAGTTGTCATAAAAATGCTGCTTTCCCTAGGGAGTAAACACCTTGGGAATTCAGTGCCAGCTGTGTTATGACTGGCTTTAACCATACACTCATATTTTAAAACTTTAAAAAAAAATCACAAAAAATACTTCAAAAAAGTATTAAATAACTAATTTTTTTGTATATTTTAGGCATGCAAAATGTATCATCATAAATCATCAAAAAGTTTTCATTAAGTACACATACACCATGCGATTCCACTAGGCACATGCAAAAAATTAGCCTAGGCCACTATGCCTAGCTAGGCTATCTGCATAGCCTAACACGCACTAAAAAATATAAGCTTTATTCCTTTAAAAGAGAATAATAAATAATTCAAATTTCTAGATATTTGGTAAGAGTTAAATTTAAGATCAGAGGAAAACTTCTAACTATAGGTAGGTAGACTATCATCGATAAATTCAGTAGGGAAAGGAATCAGTTGAATTCTATAATAAACCTGAGAATAATTCTAAGGGCCACTGCACTCCAGCCTGGGCAACAGAGCGAGACTCCTTCTAAAAAAAAAAGAAAAAGAAAAAAGAAAAAAAAGAAAAAGAAAGTTAAATTTACATATGTAGAAAGGTTCAATTATTTCTTCACTATTAAACTTTGGGCACTTGAGGACTATTCCATAATGTTTTATGCCTATAATTCCAATAACTAGTGCAAAATCCATCCTATGTATTCATAAGAGTTACAGCAAATGAACATATACTATAAAATATTTTATTTATAAACTATATATTTCTTACACTGAAAAATTTAATATTTAAATGCTATCTTATTGACTCCTCCCTCTAAATTTATAAGACAACTAGAAAATAGAAGGGACAAAAATTTTAAGAAAAGATTTGTTCAAATGAGAACACATGGACACAGGGAGGGGAACATCACACAGCGGAGCCAGTCAGTGGGTGGGGGGCTAGGGGAGGGATAGCTTTAGGAGAAATACCTAATGTAGACGATGGGTTGATGGGTGAAGCAAACCACTATAGCATGTGTATACCTATGTAGCAAACCTGCGCGTTCTGCATGTACCCCAGAACTTAAAGTATAATAATAATAAATTTTAAAAAAGATTGGTTCATTAGCAGCTATCTCCCAATGTCTGTCCTAATCCCTACTTTATGAAGAATACCTATGTTTTAATTAATCAATCACATTACTTTCATTTCAAAATCAATATATTTATGGCACAACTGCTCACACTCCCACAGACATAAACTAACAAAATCTTTTCATGTTTTATGTATGTTGAAAATTATGTAAACATAGTTGCTTTCCAATATCTCTCTGTAAGTAAATTATTTGAAAAACAGAAAACAAAATAAAACAAAGCTGAATATCCAAACCAAGATAAAAAAAAAAAAGCAAAAACATACAGCAAAAGAAAAATGGACTGCAAAGAAAAACTTTGCACAAAGAATAAAACGATATATTGTTCTCTATGTGAGGACTGGGTTTCTACTAACTCAATGGCAGGATCACCTGAATTGTGTGGGGAACTAGACCTCAGAAGGCCTGGCTGGTTTTACAGCACACCTGAAGAGGTAAGGTGCTCAGTATGTCAGAATTATTGTGTGTAAAATATAGTAGCACAGAAACTGCAAAACTCTCTGAATTCAAGTTCAACCTTGTGATACCTTGTAGTAACCCAGGAGATTTTTCCTGACATTTTGCTGAACCCAACATAGAGCCTTTGCATGATCTAAGTATTATAATACAAACAGAAGTAAACATAAATGTTAACTATAAATATAAATATATTAGAAATAAATTATATATATACATTACTAAGAATTAGTAATATAAAATAGAACTCTGTTGGTAACTGAAACAAATTTTTTCTATTTAATCTGTTGTTTAGAGTCAGTAATTTTTATTGTGGGTGGGGAAACATTAGGTAACATTTCTTGCACATGCAAAATGTGAAGTTGCAATTATCCTTGTCATTTAAGGATTAGGAGGGTACCATAGATTCTCTGAACAACAAGAATTATAAGTACTTTTAAAATTTAATTGAAATAAATCCCTGGACTCACTTTAATCAATAGTAACAAAACTGACTTTTCTAGAATTAATAGTGCTTTTCTAAATGGCCAAAATCAGATTATTCTTTCACTAAACAGTTTTCATATTTGGTCCCAGAATACTTGGTCAGTAAACAGCACAGCCTGTCTCAGGAAGTATAGAGTTACATCTTATCACATGTTGGCTCTGCAAACACTGAGGAATCTAACAATGGCCTTCTCTGAGGCAGAACTTGCTAAGTGAGGTTAGCTCCCCTTAGGAACTACAGCTATTATCAGTGTCCTCTCCTACAGTACAAGGTCTTGATTATTCATAACAATATTAGTGTTCTCATGCATCTGATTTTAAAAAGCTGGAAAAGAAAGGAGAAAGAGAGAAGCAGCTCATTGTTGATGGTTACACTGTAGGTTTTTTTTTAACTACTGCAAAATGGTTTTTCTTAAATATTAAATACAGATCATATTGTCAGTTAACCGAGACAATTTGACTTTCTCTTTTTATGATTTGGATGTCTTTAATTTCTTTTTCTTGCCTGATTGCTCTGGCAAGGACTCGTAGTATGATGTTGAATTGGAGTGAGGACCTGGGCATCCTCCTCTTGTTCCAGCTTTTAGGGGGCATGTTTTCAGCCTTTTCTGATTCAGTATGATGTTACCTGTGATTTTGTCCTATATAGCTTTTATTATTTTGAAATATATTCGTTCAATTCTTAGTTTCTTGAGGATTTCTATCATGAAGGGACGCTGAAGTTTATCAAATGCTTTCTCTGGATCTATTAAAAAGATTATATATTTTTTCTTGTTTTGAATTTATGTGATGAATCACATTTATTGATTTGTAAATGTTGAGCTATCCTTGCATCCTTGGACCAAAACTCATTTGATTGTGATGTATTATCTTTTGGATATGGTGTTGAATTTGGCTTACTAGTATTTTGTGAGGATTTGTGTTCATCAGAAATATTGGCCTATAGTTTTCTTTTTTGTCATGCCCTTGCCCAGCTTTATATGCACCCAACACTAGAGCACTCACACTCAGACCCATAAAACAAATACCACTAAGAAAAGAGACAACAATACAACAATACAATAATAATTGGTACTTCAATACCTCATTGACAACACTAGACAGATACCAAGGTAGAACATCAACAAAGAAACTCTGGACTTAAACAAGACTGTAGACCAAATGGATCAAATACACATTTACAGAACATTCTACCCCCAAACAACAGAATATTGATTTTGCTTATCTGTGCATGGAACATTCTCCAAAATAGACCATATACTTAGCCATAAAGCAAGTCTACATAAATTCCCAAGTATCAAAATCCTGTCAAGTATCTTCTCAGACCACTTCTCAGTGGAAAAAAACTGGAAATCAATACCAAGAGGAACTTTCTAAATTATTAACTGACAGGAAAATTAAACAACCTGTTCCTGAATGATGCTTGGTAAACAATGATGTTAAGGCAAAAATCAAATATTTTTTTGAAATGAAAGAAAATAGAGACAAAATATACCAAGACTTCCGAGATACAGTGAAAATGGTACTGAAAATAGTTCATACTGTTAAATGCCTAAATCAAAAAGATAGATTTCAAATTAACAACCTAATACTGTATCTCGAGGAACTAGAAAAACAAAAACAGACCAAACTCAAAGCTGGCAGAAGAAAAGAAATAAAAAAGATTGGAGCAGAGCTAATGAAATTGAGACTGAAAAAATCAATAAAAGCATCAATGAAATGAGAATTTGGTTCTTGGGAAGAGAGACAAAACTGATAGATTGCTAACCAAAACAAAAGAGAAGATTCAGATAAGTACAATCAGAAAAGACGACATATGAAAAAATGCTTAACATCACTAATGACCAGAGAAATGCAAAATAACCTACAGTGAGAACCATTTTATACCAGTAAGAATGGCTATTAATAAAACATCAAATTTGGGTAACAGGTACACTAGAAGACCAACCCCCAACAGTATGCAATGTACCCACGTAACAAACATGCACACATCTCCTCTGAGTTTAAAATAATTTTCTAAGTCAAAATATTAACTGATGTTGTCAAGATTGTGAAGAAAAGGGAATGTCTATACATTGTTGGTGGGATTGTAGAATAATTCGATCTCTATAGAAAAAAAATATGGAGATTTCTCAAAGAACTAAAAACAGAACTACCATTTGATCCAGAAACCTCACTACTGGGTATCTACACAAAAGAAAGAAAATCATTATATCAGGAAGATATTTTCACTTGTATGTTTATCACAGAACTATTCACAGTAGCAAATGTATGGAATCAACCTAAATATTGCTTGATATGGTTTGGCTGTGTCCCCACCAAAATCTCATCTTGAATTGTAGCTCCCGTAAGTCCCTCTTGTTGTGGGAGAAACCCAGTAGGAGACAATTAAATCAGAGGGGCGGTTTCCCACATACTGTTCTCATTGTAGTGAAAAGGTCTCACGAGAGCTGATGGCTTTATAAGGGGAAGCCCCTTTCGCTTGGCTCTCATTGTTTCTCTTGCCTGCTGCAATGTGAGATGTGCCTTTCACTTTCTGCCATGATTGTAAGGCCCATCAGCCACATGGAACTGTGAGTCCATTAAACCTCCTTTTCTGTAAATTGCCTAGTCTTGTGTATGTCTTTATCAGCAGCATGAAAACAGACTAATACAGTAAATTGGTATCAGTAGAGTGGGGCGCTATTAAAAAGATTCCCAAAAATGTGGAAGCAACTTTGAAACTCAGTAACAGGCAAAAGCTGGAAGAGTTTGGAGGGCCCAGAAGAACACAAGAAAATGTGGGAAAGTTTGGAACTCCCTAGAGACTTGTTAAATGGCTTTGACCAAAATGCTGATAATGATACACACAATGAAATCCAGGCTGAGGTGGTCTCAGATGTAGATGAGGAACTTATTGGGAACTTCTCTTGTTATGTTTTAGCAAAGAGACTGGCAGCATTTTGCCCCTACCCTAAGGACTTGTGAAACTTTGAAATGGAAATAGATGGTTTAGAGTATCTAGCAGAAGAAATATCTAAGCAGCAAAGCAAAGCATTAAACAGGTGACTTGGGTGCTGTTAAAGGCACTCAGTTTTAAAAGGGAAACAGAGCATAAGAGTTTGGAAAATTTGCAGCCTGACAATGTGACAGAAAAGAAAATCCCATGTTCTGAGGAGAAATTCAAGCCAGCTGCAGAAATTTTCATAAGTAACAAAGAGCCAAATGTTAATTCCCAAAACAATGGGGAAAATGTATCAAGGCATGTCAGAGGTCTTCATGGCAGTCCCTCCTATCACAGGCCCAGAGGCCTAGGAGGAAAATTGGTTTCATGGACTGGGCCCAGGGTCCCCATGCTGTACGCAGCCTAGGAACCTGGTGCCCTGAATGCCAACTGCTCCAGCTGTGGCTGAAAGAAGCCAAGGTACAGCTCAGGCTGCGACTTCAGACGGTGCAGGCCCAAAGCCTTGGCAGCTTTCACATGATGTTGAGTCTTTGAGTTCCCACAAGCCAATAACTGGGGTTTGGGAGCCTCCACTTAGATTTCAGAAGAGGTATCGAAATGCCTGGATGTCCAAGAAGAAGTTTGCTGCAGGGGCAGGGCCCTCATGGAGAACCTCTGCTAGGGCAGTGTGGAAGGGAAATGTGAGTTGGAGCTCCCACACAGAGTGCCCACTGGGGCACTGCCTGTAGAGCTATGAGAAGACAGCCACCCTCCTCCAGACCCCAGAATGATAGATCCATTGACAGCTTGCACCACGCACTTGGAAAAGCTGCAGACACTCAATGCTAGCCTGTGAAAGCAGCTGGGAGGGAGGATTTACCCTGCAAAGCAACAGGGGCATAGCTACACATAACCTTGGGAAGCACCTCTTTCATCAGCATGGCCTGGATGTGAGACATGGAGTCAAAGGAGATCATTTGGAGCTTTAATATTTGACTGCTCACTGACTTTTGGACTTGCATGGAGCATGTAGCCCCTTTGTTTTGGCCAATTTTTCCCATTTGGAATTGCTGTATTAACCCAGAGCCTGTACCCCCATTGTATCCAGAAAATAACAAACTTGCTTTTGATTCTTCAGACTCATAGCAGAAACGACTTGTCTTGTCTCAGATGAGATGTTGGACATGGGGCCAGGAATGGAATGATACGGTTTGGCTGTGTCCCTATCCAAATCTCATCTTGAGTTATATCTCCCATAATTCCCTCATGTTGTGAGAGGGACCAGTAGGAGATAATTGAATCATGGATGTGGTTTCCCCATACTGTTCTTATGGTAGTGAAAAGGTCTCACAAGATCTGATGGATTTTTAAGGAGAAACCCCTTTCGCTTGGCCTTCATTCTCTCTCTTGCCTGCTTTGATGTGGGATGTGCTTTTCACCTTCCATCATAATTGTGATGTTTCCCCAGCCACTTAGAACTGTGAGTTTATTAAACCTCTTTTGTAAATTGCCCGGTCTTGGGTATGTCTTTCTTGGCAGTGTGAAAATGGACTAATACATTTTTAAATGGATAATTGGATAAATAAAATGTTATATATGTATATACACACATACACACATGGAAAACTACTCAGCCAAAATATACACATACACTACTCAGCCAAAACATACACATACACACATATGGAATGCTACTCAGCCAAAAAAAATGAAATAATGTATTTTGCAGAAAGATGGATAGAACTAGTGGCCATTAAGTGAAATAACTCAGAAACAGGAAATCAAATACTACATGTTCTCACTTATAAGTTGGAGCTAAATAAGGTGTACACATGGACATAGAGAGTAGACTCATAGATATTGGAGACTTGGAAGGGTGGGAGGAAGGTGAGGGATGAGAAATAACTTAGTGGGTATAATGTGCACTATTTGGATAGTGGTTACATTAAAAGCCCAAACTTATCTACTACATAACAAATCCATGTATCAAAATTGCAATTGTATCCCCACATTTATACAATTAAAAATATTAAATAAAGCATACATTAAATATACCTAATATCATTTCATTTTCATTTTCCTTAATATTAAATATGTAAAGATATTTGTTTACCTTTCCTCCCCAGTGTGAACAGAGATAAAGAGCCTGAACAACTCATGGAATGTAACAGTTCGTTTTGTGTAAAAGGTTCAAATATCTATCTATACAGTAATATTTGACCTTTTGACATCCAGAAAGTCTGGTTAAGACAGATATTTTACTCTCTTTCTTTTGTGGCTCACTCCAGAGTTTTCTCAGGAACCAATTTTGAGAAGGGCATCGAGTTCAGGTTCATGGCTGTCCCTCAGGCTCCCAAAGCCAAAGAGCTTTATTGTTTTATTGATGTTGGCAGAAGGGGAGCCAGCAGTATGTAATGATTCACCTCCAAATCCTTATAAAAAAGGCTAACTCTTTTCACAATTTTTAAATCAGGAAAAAGAAAATCCAGGAATCATTCTGTAAAAATTATTTTTCAATTGAAATTTATTTTACAATGCATGTAATCTTCAATAAAAACTACACTATTTTCCCAGTATACATTTATATGTCAATGCAGATATTTAATTCTATTTTAATTTTAATATTGGCTTTAAAATGATTGCTAAATTAACACTTCATTTTATCTTTTTTAACCTTTAGAATGCTATAAACATATTTTAACTTTTATGAAATTTTTTTTTCAAGTATACATTGAACACTGCTGTATGTTCTAGGCACTTTTTATGCAGTGGAAATAATCGCAAGGGTGGCCAAAAAAATCTTTTTAATCTAGTGTAAAATAAAAAGTGGGAAGTAGAAAAATAATGTTTTAAAAATTAAACTAGTAATCAGAAGTTGGTCTGTTTAAAACACTTTTCAATTGTTACTCTGTATCTTCTACATGCAATATAAATCTTTACAAATATTAACCAATTTAATATTCACAACAGCCATGTGAAGTAACTACTGTAACAGATAAAAAAATTGAGGTACAGATGGGTTAACTATATTACATGAAGTCATAAACATAGTAAGTGGCAGAATTAGGATTCAAAATGTTACATGAATAGTATGAGCAGGTGACCATGGTAGATGAAGAGAAAGAATGCCTAGCTGCCCTGGGAGATCACTAAAGGCCTCAATGTAAAAGTATTACTGGGTCCTAAAAAATATTTGGGAGATAGTAGCACATATTTAAATCAGACAGCCCTGAATAATATAAATGTGAGCCGGATCATTTACATACCTGTGAAGCCCTGGTCAACTTACTTTACAACTTTAAGCTTTTGTTCCCTTCTTACTAAAAATGGGCTAGGAATATTACTTATTTCATAAGGTTTTGTGAGAATTAAACTAAGTACTATACAGCATGATCTCAGGCCTAGGATTAGGCCCAATAACTTAAAAAATAATTATTATAAATGAAGAGAAAGAGCTAGGTAAGTGAAAAAAGGTGAAATTGAAAACATTCCAGACATATGTTGATTACCTGGTAAGGAGTGGGTGAAAAGGGTTAGAAAGATGAGGGGAAGGACAATGAGTGGTAGGAACAACAAGTCTGTGACTCATCTCTGAATACATTTTTTGTATAACTGGGACCATAAACAAATCATTAAAACTTGCCAGCACATTGAAGAAAACAAAAATATAATTCAGGAATAAAAATTTAACCTAATTGTATTGCAAATCAGTAACATAACCACACTGAAGGGCATGAGGAAGGCAAAATATAAACTAAGTTACTTTCTAAAGATAAAGACAAAACAAAACAAAAAACTCTGTACATAAATATATATTGTAATCTGTGCAATAAAATTTTAAAATAGATACTCAGAGATGAGCCAGAATTTATGAAATTATTACACACTAGCATTAAACAAAGCTATAAATATAGATAATAAAAATAAGAGTTGGCTAAGTATCTGAGAATGAAGTTGAAAATAAGAAATGGAAAAAGCTCAAATGATAGAATTGGAGGTGTCAGTATAAACTGATCATGAAAAATTATATGTTATATGATACAAGATGATTGACTGATTGGTTAAAGATGGATAAATAAATATATGTTGATATTTGTATTATGCATGGATTCATATACATACATAGATTCCCTAGCTCTCTATTGAGAAGGCCAAGACCAAGTATTAATAGTACTCCAGTGGCAATGAGCACAATTAGTATTACAATCTTTTATTCTAAACATCATTCTCCAATAAAAAGAACTAGGGTTTCATGTTAAAATAATGGTTGAATCTAGGGCTAGGGTGAGGAAATTACAAAATATATCTAAAGCATCTTGGGGTGCCAGAATGTAAAAAAGTTATCACAAAAGGACAGGAGCATAACAAAAGAACACAGAAGTCAACCTGTAGTAGATCCTGATGGTCAAATAATTTAAACAATAAAATAATGATAGTTTTAATTATAGCCCATATAATAAAAATTCATGAATCAAATAAATATTGAATTAATAAATAAGAGAGAAGGAATTCTTACCCATAGAAGAATTCTGACTTGAAAATTTAAAAGAAAAGAGGGAAAGAAGAAACCACTCACAGTAAATACCAGTGTAATAATTATTTTATGGAAAAGTTATCTATGGTTGGCAAAATTAGTGGGGGAAAACACATTGCACGCATGTATCAAAATATTGCATGTACCACCAAAATATGCACACCTATGATATATCAACAAAAAAATAGTGAAGGGAATTTGAAAACAAACAGGACATTTGTATAATTTAATTATATGTACCCAAAAATATGTTTAAATTACAATGGGAAAAATAGTATTTAAAGTGAATAAACTTGGCAGATACTAACTTAAGCAAGTAGTCAAGGCTAACATCACCACTTATAAAATAAATTGGCATTGTGAAGTCCCTGAAATCATTCATTGAAAAGAATAATATCATTTTTATATTATTATTTCCAAAATGGCACTGTCTCATTTTAGTAAGAAATAGCATCAATAAAACCCAAATTGATAGGCTTTTCCAAGTAACTGACCAGTACTTCCTAAAGTATCAATGCTGTGAAGGAAAATTAAAGACCTGGCAACTGTTAAGAAAGGAGAAAACTAAGAAAAAAAAAAACAAACCTGTCTCTAATAAAATTGCAAAAATTAGCTGGGCGTAGTGATGTGCACCTGTAGTCCCAGCCACTAGGGAGGTTAGGCAGGGAAGCACTTGAACTCAGGAGGTGGAAGTTGCAATGAGCCGAGATTGTGCCACTGCACGCCAGCCTGGGAGACAGGGCGAGACTCTATCTAATTAAAAAAAAAAAAGAGAGAGAGAGAGAGAAGTATGTGACAATGTTAATTCTCTGGTATTGATCATTTTAGTATGGCTATGTAACATGTTAGCATTAGGGAAAGTTTGGTAAGGGAATATGAAAAATCTTTATTTTTTTGGCAACCATTCCTTTAGTAAGTGTGACAATATATTTAAAAATGTAAATAAAATCCACCCAGGAGATTTTATTATGTAAGCAGTGTGTCGGGTTTTGTTTTTTTGTTTGTTTGTTTGTTTGTTTTTGCTCTGTGTGTCAGAGTACAACAACACAAGTTTGGAGGAGTAGGCAAGAATCTGATCATGAGAACTCCTATAAATTATGCCAAACTATAAAACATAGATTTTAAGTAGGAAAACTAAAGGATCATTTTTACATTTTAGAAAGGATGTGCTTACAAAAAGCAAAGAGGATTCTGGCAGGTTCCATGAGTTGAGGAGATGGAGCTAAGACTACCAGGAGACTTAGGTAGCAAGAGTTCACAGCACAGAGTACCACAAAGGAGAAAACTGCACAGAGATAAAATCCTAGAAATCTACAGAAGTCCCCCTCAAAGAGCAGAATATTGATCCGTACATATATGTGAGAAAACTACCTGAGGCTGGGTAAAGAATTATAAAAAAGGATCAGCGATAACAATGACCAGTGCACACATAGGTCCAGAAACAGTGTGTGCTCTCATTGGTAAGACCAGAAAAACTCATAATTCATGAGGCAGAAGGTTAAAAACTCAGAAAGACCATACCTAATTAATGAGAAATAATTAGCTGCCTGGTTACTTCTCTGCAGCTGCCTAACCAGTCATAACATCAAGATCTGAAAGGAACAAGCTATGTCTAAGTAACTTACTAAATACCAGAAAAAAATACCTAGAACATTTACAAGCAATAAAAAATTCAAAACACAATGACAAAACTTTTGCAATGTCTGGCATAAAATCAAAGATTATCAGGCATTTAAAGAAACAGGGATGTATGGCCCATAATTAAGGAAAATAATCCATTGAAAACATCCCAGACATAACACAGTAGTTAGGATTAGAGGTAAACTACTTTAAGACACTTAATATAACTTTACCCCATATGTTCTAAAGGTAAAGAATTTGAAAATATAAATAATGTCTTGAAGTTAAACTTCACTAACAAATAATCAAGCAGTATCACAATAATAAATAAAAATAGAGATATATAATGAGTTAACATGAAGGAAAACACAATATTATTTGAATGTCAATTCTCATTTTGATCCTAGACTTTTTATTTTTTTTAGACGGAGTCTCTCTCTGGCACCCAGGCTGGAGTGCAGTGTTGCGATCTCAGCTTACTGCCACCTCCACCTCCCAGATTCACGCCATCCTCCTGCCTCAGCCTCCCAAGTAGGTGGGACTACAGGTGCCAACCACCACGCCCGGCTAATTTTTTTGTATTTTTAGTAGAGATGGGGTTTCACCATGTTAGCCAGGATGGTCTTGATCTCCTGACCTCGTGATCCGCCCGGCTTTGCTTCCCAAAGTGCTGGGATTACAGGCATGAGCCACTGCGTCTGACCTGATCTTAGATTTAATATCATTCCAGTCAGGATTCTGGCAGGCTTTTTTTGTATAAATTGACAAGTATATTCTAAAATTCAAATGAAAATTCAACAGGCTTGGAACATGCAAAACAATTCTGAAAAAAAGACCAAAGTTGCAGTATTAGTCTTTCCAAGATGTATCATAAAGCTATAGTAATCAAGACCTGTGAGAGCTTTATAAAGATAAATAAATAGATCAGTAGAATAGAGAGTCAAGCAATAGACTGAC
Organism: Homo sapiens; assembly: GCF_000001405.40. NCBI lineage: Eukaryota > Metazoa > Chordata > Mammalia > Primates > Hominidae > Homo > Homo sapiens. Next base: position 103,246,992 of record NC_000006.12, read on the forward strand.
ACATATAAGGATGACATACTTTTAATACTGGTTCAAGACACAGCATTGGAGAAAGATAGCCTTTTCAACAAATTGTGCTAGAATAATTAAATGTGCATACGCAAAAGTCAAGTTTGATACATACCTTGAACTATAAACAAAAATCATAGACGTATGTAAAACTTCTAGGAAAAAAATATAGAATCTTTGTAAATTTAATGCATTAGTCAGGATTCTCCAGAGAAACAGAATCAGTAGAATTTCTCATAATTAATATCGTGTGTGTGTGTGTGTGTGTGTGTGTGTGTGTGTGTGATTGTGGAGAAATTGGCACATATGATTGTGGAGGCTGAGAATTCCCATGAGATCAGCTAGTTTGAAGCCAAGGAAAGCTTTTAGTATAACTCAGTTCAAGTCCAAAGGGCTGAGAACCATGGAAGCCAATGCCATAAATCCCCAGTTCAAGAGCTGAAGGAAATGAGATGAGATGTTTCAGCTCAAACAGTGAGACAGGAAAAAGTAGGGCAAATTGCTCTTTCCTCTCTGCCTGCTCTATACCAGGCTTTTAATGGATTAGATGATACCTACCCGCATTGAGGAAGGCAACCTACTTTACTACATCCAGCAGTTCAAATCCTAATGTTATCCAGAAACACCTTCACATAGACATAAACACAGAAATAATGTTTAATGTGGGCACCTCGTAGCCAGAAACGTTGCCATGTAAAATTAATCATTGCACATAGATTAGGTAAAGATTCCTTAGATATGCCACCAAAATATTTTCCATAAAAGAATAAATAAAATGTAATTTTTCAGAAATTACAAAATCACTGTTATAAGATTGAAAACGGCCAGACACGGTGGCTCACGCCTAAAATCCCAGCATTTTGGGAGGCCAATGTGGGCGGATCACCAGAGGTCAGGAGTTTGAGACCAGCATGTCCAACATAGTGAAACCCCATCTCTACTGAAAATATAAAAATTAGCCAGGCATGGTGGTGGGTGCCTGTAATCCCAGCTACTCATGAGGCTGAGGCAGGCGAATCACTTGAACATGGGAGGCGGAGGTTGCAGTGAGCCATAATTGTGCTATTGCTCTCCAGCCTGGGCGACAAGAGTGAGACTCTGTCTCAAAAAAAAAAAAAAAAAAAAAAAAAAAAATTGGGCAGTTCCAAGATGGCTGAATAGGAACAGCTCCAGTCTACAGCACCTAGCATGAGCAATGCAGAAGACAGGTGATTTCTGCATTTCCAACTGAGGAACGCAGCTCCTCTCCAGCAACGGAACAAAGCTGGATGGAGAATGACTGACGAGTTGACGGAAGAAGGCTTCAGACGATCAAACTTCTCCGAGCTAAAGGAGGAAGTTTGAACCCAATGCAAAGAAGCTAAAAACCTTGAAAAAAGATTAGATGAATGGCAAACTAGAATAAGCTGTATAGAGGAGTCCTTAAATGACCTGATGGAGCTGAAAACCATGGCACGAGAACTATGTGACGAATGCACAAGCTTCAGTAGCCAATTCAATCAACGGGAAAAAAGGATATCAGTGATTGAAGATCAAATGAATGAAATGAAGCGAGAAGAGAAGTTTAGAGAAAAAAGAGTAAAAAGAAACAAACAAAGCCTCCAAGAAATATGGGACTATGTTAAAAGACAAAATCTATATCTGATTGGTATACCTGAAAGTGATGGGGAGAATGGAACCAAGTTGGAAAACATTCTGCAGGATATTATCCAGGAGAATTTCCCCAACCTAGCAAGGTAGGCCAACACTCAAATTCAGGAAATACAGAGAACACCTCAAAGACACTCCTCGAAAAGAGCAACTCCAGGACACATAATTGTCAGATTCACCAAAGCTGAAATGAAGGAAAAAATGTTAAGGGCACCAGAGAGAAAGGTCGGGTTATCCGCAAAGGGAAACCCATCAGACTAAGAGCAGATCTCTCGGCAGAAACTCTACAAGCCAAAAGAGAGTGGGGGCCAGTATTCAACATTATTAAAGAAAAGAATTTTCAACCCAGAATTTCATATCCCGCCAAACTAAGCTTCATAAGTAAAGGAGAAAAAAAATCCTTTACACACAAGCAAATGCTGAGAGATTTTGTCACCACCAGGCCTGCCCTACAGGAGCTCCTGAAGGAAGCACTAAACATGGAAAGGAACAACCGGTACCAGCCACTGCAAAAGCATTCCGAATTGTAAAGACCATCAATGCTAGGAAGAAACTGCATCAACTGATGAGCAAAATAACCAGCTAACATCAAAACGACAGGATCAAATTCACACATAACAATATTAACTTTAAATGTAAATGGGCTAAATGCTCCAATTAAAAGACACAGACTGGCAAATTTGATAAAGAGTCAAGACCCAACAGTGTGCTGTATTCAGGTGACCCATCTCATGTGCAGAGACATACATAGGCTCAAAATAAAGGGATGGAGGAAGATCTACCAAGCAAAAGGAAAACAAAAAAAAGGCAGGGGTTGCAATCCTAGTCTCTGATAAAACAGACTTTAAACCAACAAAAATCAAAAGAGACAAAGAAGGCCATTAGGTAATGGTAAAGGTATCAATTCAACAAGAAGAGCTAACTATCTTAAATATATATGCACCCAATACAGGAGCACCCAGATTCATAAAGCAAGTCCTTAGAGATCTACAAAGGGACTTAGACTCCCACACAATAATAATGGGAGACTTTAACACCCCACTGCCAACATTAGACAGATCAATGAGACAGAAAGGTAACAAGGATACCCAGGAATTGAACTCAGCTCTGCAACAAGTGGGCCTAATAGACATCAACAGAACTGTCCACCCAAAATCAACAGAATATCCATTCTTCTCAGCACCACATCACACTTATTCCAAAACTGACCAAATAGTTGGAAGTAAAGCACTCCTCAGCAAATGTAAAAGAACAGAAATTATAACAAACTGTCTCTCAGACCACAGTGCAATCAAACTAGAACTCGGGATTAAGAAACTCACTCAAAACCACTCAACTACATGGAAACTGAACAACCTGCTCCTGAATGACTACTGGGTACATAATGAAATGAAGGCAGAAATAAAGATGTTCTTTGAAACAAATGAAAACAAAGACACAACATACCAGAATCTAGGGGACACATTTAAAGCAGTGTGTAGAGGGAAATTTATAGCACTAAATGCCCACAAGAGAAAGCAGGAAAGATCTAAAATTGACACCCTAACATCACAATTAGAAGAACTAGAGAAGCAAGAGCAAACACATTCAAAAGCTAGCAGAAGGCAAGAAATAACTAAGATCAGAGCAGTACTGAAGGAGATAGAGACACAAAAAACCCTTCAAAAAAATCAGTGAATCCAGGAGCTGGTTTTTTGTACAGATCAACAACATTGATAGACCACAAGCAAGATTAATAAAGAAGAAAAGAGAGAAGAATCAAATAGACACAATAAAAAATGATAAAGGTGATATCACCACCGATCCCACAGAAATACAAACTACCATCAGAGAATACTATAACCACCTCTATGTAAATAAACTAGAAAATCTAGAAGAAATGGACAAATTCCTGGACACCTACACTCTCCCAAAACTAAACCAGGAAGAAGTTGAATCCCTGAATAGACCAATAACAGGCTCTTAAATTGAAGCAATAATTAATAGCCTACCAACCAAAAAAGTCCAGGACCAGATGGATTCACAGCCGAATTCTACCAGAGGTACAAGGAGGAGCTGGTACTATTCCTTCTGAAACTATTCCAATCAATAGAAAAAGAGGGAATCCTCCCTAACTCATTTTATGAGGCCAGCATCATCCTGATACCAAAGCCTGGCAGAGACACAACAAAAAAGGACAATTTTAGACCAATATTCCTGATGAAAATTGATGCAAAAATCCTCAATAAAATACTGGCAAACCGAATCCAGCAGCACATCAAAAAGCGTATCCACCACGATCAACTCGGCTTCATCCCTGGGATGCAAGGCTGGTTCAACATACGCAAATCAATAAATGTAATCCAGCATATAAACAGAACCAAAGTCAAAAACCACATGATTATCTCAATAGATGTAGAAAAGGCCTTTGACAACATTCAACACCCTTCACGCTAAAAACTCTCAATAAATTAGGTATTGATGGGACGTATCTCAAAATAAGAGCTATTTATGACAAAACCACAGCCAATATCATACTGAATGGGCAAAAACTGGAAGCATTCCCTTTGAAAACTGTCGCAAGACAGGGATGCCCTCTCTCACCACTCCTATTCAACATAGTGTTGGAAGTTCTGGCCAGGGCAATCAAGCAGGAGAAAGAAATAAAGTGTATTCAATTAGGAAAAGAGGAAGTCAAATTGTCCCTCTTTGCAGATGGCATGATTGCATATTTAGAAAACCCCATCGTGTCAGCCCAAAATCTACTTAAGCTGATAAGCAATTTCAGCAAAGTCTCAGGATAAAAAATTAATGTGCAAAAATCACAAGCATTCATATACACCAATAACAGACAAACAGAGAGCCAAATCATGAGTGAACTCCCATTCACAATTGCTTCAAAGAGAATAAAATACCTAGGAATCCAACTTACAAGGAACGTGAAGGACCTCTTCGAGGAGAACTACAAACCACTGCTCAATGAAATAAAAGAGGATACAAACAAATGGAAGAACATTCCATGCTCATGGATAGGAAGAATCAATATCATGAAAACGGCCATACTGCCCAAGGTAATTTATAGATTCAATGCCATCCCCATCAAGCTACCAATGACTTTCTTCACAGAATTGGAAAAAACTACTTTAAAGTTCACATGGAACCAAAAAAGAGCCCGCATTGCCAAGACAATCCTAAGCCAAAAGAACATAGCTGGAGGCATCATGCTACCTGACTTCAAACTATACTACAAGGCTACAGTAACCAAAACAGCACAGTACTGGTACCAAAACAGAGATATAGACCAATGGAACAGAAGAGAGCCCTCAGACATAGTACCACACATCTACAACTATCTGATATTTGACAAACCTGACAAAAACAAGAAATTGGGGAAAGGATTCCCTATTTAACAAATGGTGCTGGGAAAACTGGCTGGCCATATGGAGAAAGCTGAAACTGGATCCTTTCCTTACACCTTATACAAAAAATTAATTCAAGATGGATTAAAGACTTAAATGTTACACGTAAAACCATAAAAACCCTAGAAGAAAACCTAGGCAATACCATTCAGGACATAGGCATGGGCAAGAAGTTCGTGTCTAAAACACCAAAAGGAATGGCAACAAAAGCCAAAATTGACAAATGGGATCTAATTAAACTAAAGAGCTTCTACACAGCAAAAGAAACTACCATCACAGTGAACAGACAACCTACAGAATGGGAAAAAAATTTGTAATGTACTCATCTGACAAAGGGCTAATATCCAGAATCTACGATGAACTCAAACAAATTTACAAGAAAAAAACAAACAACCCCATCAACAAGTGGGCGAAGGATATGAACAGACACTTCTCAAAAGAAGACATTTATGCAGCCAACAGACACATGAAAAAATGCTCATCATCACTGGCCATCAGAGAAACGCAAATAAAACCACAATGAGATACCATCTCACACCAGTTAGAATGGCAATCATTAA